>NC_000002.12:19327937-19479452 GCF_000001405.40 Homo sapiens
TTCTTAATCCCTTTTGAACACAATTTACTCAGGCTTTTGACTCCACTATTGTACTAAAACAGCTTTTATCAAGACCTTCTGTGATTCCTAGAAGTGAATTTTCACCTCTAATTCTTCCTTATCTAGCTAGCCATCTGTATCATCTATCTTCTATCTATCATCTATCTACCTATCTATCTATCTATCTTCTATCTATCTATCATCTATCTATCTAGTCTATCTATCTGGGCAATCTCATACAGACTCATGGCTTTAAATGCATTTTATCTACTAATGGCTCCAAAATGTGTGTCTTCAACCAAAACTTGACTTACATATCAAACTGCTTTCTCAGTATCTCTAAATACTAAATAGGTACCTCAACTTTATCATATCCAAAATCAGATTTGAAATTTTTATCTCCAAATATGCTTGTCTTAGTCTCCTCCAACTCACTAATGGGCAAATCTCTTTCCAGTTGTTAAAAACAAGATCCTTGGAGACAGCATTTGTTCCTCTTTTCTCTTATAACCTATATCTAATCTATCACAACTTCTATGGTTTCTGTCACTAAAATAGGCATAGAAAATATAACTTCTCATCATCTCCTCCACTACTCCTGACTAAGCGAGATGGAAAGCTATTGGGAGAACTAGGAGCAGAGGAATAACATGTTATGCCTTAGGTTTAAAAAGACCTCTGACTTTACTGATAATAAACTATAGGGGGCCGATGGTGGAAACAGGGAGCTGATCATATGTCTATTTCAACAATCCAGACACTAGATAACAGTATTTATGGCCATATTTATTGCTTAGAACAATATCTGACCTACAGTAAGTGCTCAGTAAATGTTGCTGAATGAGGGAATGAATGTAGAACCAGCAGATTCTGGAGGGACTGGGACAAAGGAGAGAGTTTGTCATGATAGAAGGTAGATTGGACAAGCTACTCTCTTGAGGCAAACAGAGCACCAGTGTATACAACACTCAATAGATGCTCTATAATTGTGTGCTTAGTAATTGGTTAATTGGTGGATGGATGGATTGACTAATGGAAGGACGTTAGGAAATATAAGAAGAGGGGAATGGGAAAATGAGGCCCAGAGGAAACCATATACCCAGAGTCATCACCAGAGTACCCAAGGAAAGGAATGTGGGAAAGATACCTGCTCATTAAAGCTATCAGACTCTCCAAAAAAAACTTATTACACTCAGAAATATGTTTGAATTTTCAATGTTACATGAAATTGGCCATATACATGGTAACGGTTTTATTTGATCTTTGACAGTTTGACAATTACAAATATTTCATTGAGCCAAAATTTCAAAATATATATTAAAGTACTGTTTTAACCCAACTGATTATGACACTTCATTTCAACAATCTCTACTCCTTTAGGGTTCTGCTTACTATTTGAACTCACCCTTCACACTAACACTTCAACCCTCCATCACATAAAACACGTCTTACCTTCATGGCCATTTAAGCCATGTGAGTTTGGATTTATTCTTGGGTAATATAAACATGTAAAAGATACAAAAAAGCCCCTTTTTCTCTCCCCTAGAAATTTCTCAGTGACTTATGCAAAAGCCACTGTTAGTTTACTTCTCTACCATTCTGGTTGCTTCATTCAACATCCCTGGCTCAGAATTCCTGGGAGAGACTGCACAGCCATCAGCAGTGGCCTAGGATTAGGAGGGACAGCCAACCCCTGTGCTATGATAGTTCAGCACTATGGACAGCAATGTGTGCGTTTTTGTGCCCCCCCCCAAAAAATATTTAACGTATGCTCTAATTATACCCAGAATGTATCCACATTACATTAGCTTGGGTCAAAAAACAGCAATAATAATAACAGGTGAGATTTACTGAATATTTAATATGTGCCAAACTTTGTACTAATGTATTTGTTCCTATGTTTCATCCTCTCAGGAATTCTCCAAGACAGGTATTATTATTTCTTTATATATTTATGAATATAAATTATGTATTTATTAATGAATATTTACAAATTATATATTATGAATGAAGAATCTATTGTTTAGAGAGATTAAACAATTTGCCAAACATAGACAACTAATAAGCCTTTAGACTAAGTCCTTTATCCTTTTGCTATATATCTGTACCTGCATACAGTGGCAGAAAAGAAGTTCAAACCCAGGTTCTCCAATACTAACCCCAGATCTCCTTCTACAAGGTTACATATGTCCCATCAGTCGGAGGTGGGCAGAGTAGAGACACACACGCACACACACACACACACACACACACACACACATGCCCACACACACAAATGGTAAACTCCATATGAAGGGGCTTCAGATAATTACTAAATGCACTAGAAAATGTGTTTAATCAATATCAAGAGCCAAAAGAGACTTTTGATATGATCGTGCTGAAAGCGCAAAGACATGTATGTATGTCTTACAAACTATGTAAGATTTCCTCTTGAGTGTCTGATGGAGCCCTCAGTTTAGGGGGCCTCTAGCCCACTACTGGATAAAAACCAGTAGAAAAAGATTCTATCTCAGAGGAGAAAATATGATAAGCATCAGGTGCATCCAAGGAAAGCCTATGACTGTGCAAGTGAGAGGGAAGGGGCCTCTGGAGACAAGTTCTCCCCAGGCGTACGGATGGGTTGTTCGCAAGGTCTCCAGGGCACATAAACCACAACGATAGGCACATTCCATTCACAAACATTTGAATGTTTCCATTTTCATGTCTCTGATGTCTACATTTTTTCCCAAGTATTGCAGTTTTCTAATCAGTCCCGCATGTCTGTTCTCAGCTATGTATCTAAGAGCCAGACAGACAAGCTGCAGAGTCCTTGGCCACAGAAGCACCTGGCTCCCCAAGGATGTGTGTCTCATTTTCTTAAACCTAGCAGAGGCTCTTTGATCTCCCTGCTTGGACAAGATTGCAGCCAGGCCTACTCTTCACAACTCACCATGTTTCCAGACCCAGGCTTTTCCTTCTCCAGATCCCTTCCCTGCCCAGTGACACTCAGCCTTCTCCCACCCCTTCCTTATCTCCCACAACTCGGAGCAGGCATCTCTCTTGGTCCTCCTCCCACCTACAGAAGACAGCCTTGATTCTTGGACAGGCCCAAACTTAAGCAACATTCCTTTGACTTTCCATGAACCTGTGTTCCTGTGAGACTGGAAGGCAACCTTGATTCTTCTGGTCCAGAAGGCAACCTTGATCTTGGACAACCCCAGACTTAAGCATCATTTCTTTGACTTTTTATGAACTTGTGTTCTTGTGGGACCATGGATCCCAATTTTGCCGTGGTCCCCACACTCTCACACTCACAACTTTGAGTCTCCCACATTGTTTCCCCTTACCTTAGGATACCACCTCCACATATATATATAAATAAATACATATATATATAATATATATGCTCACACACACACACACACACATACACACACATGCATATGTTGATGTATGCATGGGTGTATCTGTGCACATAAGTTTCCCTGGTACCTAATTATTGACTACCTAAAGGTGTCTAATTCTTCCCTGAATTCCTAAATTCTGGTAAAGTTTCAGGCACATAGAATGAAGCCAAGTATCTGAAAAGTGAATTTAAAGGCAGAGCATGTGCATAGAATTTTTGCCCAAACTGAAACAAGAATAACTCTCCCATGAGCCTTAGCCAGGAAGAGTCTAGCCTGTCTGTGTGCACAGCTCCAGAGTTGGGAGACATCACAGAACCACCAAACCTACCCCCTGCTGCTGCCAATAAGGGAGTTGGCCAGGAAACACTTTTCCATCAAGCACCACAAATAATTCATCCCACAGACTCCCATGATCACACCTTCTATGTGCCAGGCCCTCCAGCTATGAATAAGAAACCAATGTGGTTTAATTTATAACTGCTTTTTTTAAAATTCTGAAGAAAGCTGAATTCATAAAACAGGAGATAACAATGGAAATTATTTTTGCTGAATAACTACTGTGTGCCAGGTTAATTGCACACATTGTCCCATGTAAGCATTGCACCAACTGAGAGAAAGAAATCATTTTCTCCATCTCAGGAAACTCTAGGAAGATGTGACCCTCAGTCTGTGGGCCCCAAGGTGCGTGCTGTGAGATTGGGGATTGATTGCACCAGCATCCCTGTTCCACTCACTATCTGTTTCCATTTCTTCTGCAGTTCATCAGAGACGGTAACCCAATTTGAACACATATTACAATACAGTCTACTAATGTTTCTTCATAATAGAAAAACAGTAAAGATTTCCTGTCATAATACTAAATGCCACTTAAAGGAGTTACAGATGCTGAATCTGAGCAGATTAGCCAAGTTATGGTATAAACTCCAAGTTTCAGAACTGTATCCCTGAGGCAAAGTAAAATGTCCAGTGGTGGTTACCCCATTCCTCCACAAAAATAAAAAAAAACAGTTTTCTAAAATGTGATGCATATAAAATATTAAATTTCTTAAACTATGTTGGCTTTTGGCTGGTTGCATGTTTTCTGTTGGAGTTAATACCACATGTTAAGGTGTGGGAATTTAAGATAGGCATCTAAGACAGTGAGCCATTTAAGAAAACCAAAATTTAAAAACAGCAATGCTCTCCACACACTCCAACTTGTGTTACATTGCCTTTAGTCCTCACCGTTTGTTTTTTGTTTGTTTGTTTTTTGCTATGCAATGTGGAATCCTTGGCCACAGCTCTGGGCAATCAGAGCAGAGAAGCACATGCTGAACAAGTAATTGGTGTTGATGTGTGTCCTCTAGGCTCTGCTTTTTGGGAGGCCTTGCCAATGTCCTCATTGAGATCATTATCTTCCAGCTTTGTGCTTTGATCCCAGATCTGGAAAAAGTGTGCTTCCTAGGCTGCAGGCCTCCCCCATCCTATATCTCCCTCCTTATCTCAGAGCACTGTCACTGAGTCAAGAGTTGGATCGGCTTCTCACTGTTCATGATCTTTACATAATAGCTGACACATTAAATTATGATGTATCTTCACTGGGCTAAGCTCATTACATGAATGATTTTATTTATTCTTCACAATTCAATTATGCATATATTTTAATTACCCCATTTTACAAATAGTGAAACTAGAGCTATCCTAGAAGACAGATTCCACAAGGACTTTGTCTTACGTTGCTGTAATTCCAGGGCCTAGAACACTGCCTGTGTCTAAGTGCTCAAGAAGTAATCATTAAGTCGATGAATGAATGAATGAAGCCAAGGAAAATTAACTTAGTTGTCCAAGCCATACAACTAGTAAGTGTTGAGTCTGGAGAATATTTACGAAAGTGGGATTTCCTGTGTTCTTGTGTGATGCCCATGTTGACATTCCCCAGGCAGGTTCAAGATAGGAGTCAACTTGGCAGCACGGTGCAGGGCACAAGGCACAGGCTGGGAGGGACACAGGCCTGAGACCTGGGCTCAGTTCTGCAGCTTACTAAGTGACATTAGACAAATCACTTAACTTCTCTTAGCTTCAGATTCCTCATCTATAAAATAAGAACAATAATACTCACTTTTTAGTGTGCTTGTGTGGATTATAAGAGCTAAAATATGTGAAGTGCCTAGTGAAGTGTATTTTATATAGTATGTGTTCAACAATTTGTAGCTATTGTATAATGATTCTTAACCTTACCATACCCCAAAAAAGCACAGCATCACTTCTCCAAATCTAATCATGAGGACTTATTACACAGTCCCAAAGGTGGGACATTTTACCATATAATCAGCCTATCATCTTCAAAATTGTTGTGATTATGAAAGTCATGGAAAGACTAAGAAACAAGTTGAGACTGAAGGAGACTAAAGACACATGACAACTGAATGCAATATAAGATCATGACTTGGATCCTTTTTCTATAAAAGCCATTGTTAGGCAAATTGGTGAAACTTGAATGAGATCTGCAGGTTAGATGGCAGTAATATATCAGTGTTAATTTTCTGATTTTGATTTTGATAGTTGAATGGAAGTTTTTTTTGTTTTGTTTTTTGTTTTTTGAGACAGAGTCTCACTCTATCTCCCAGGCTGGAGTACAGTGGAGTGATCTCTCGGCTCACTGCAGCCTCCATCTCCTGGGTTCAAGCAATTCTCCTGCTTCAGCCTCCTGAGTAGCTGAGATTACAGGTGCCTGCTACCACGCCCGACTAATTTTTGTATTTTCAGTAGAGATGGGGTTTCACCACGTTGGCCAGGCTAGTATCAAACTCCTGACTTCAGGTGATTCGCCCGCCTCCGCCTCCCAAAATGCTGGGATTACAAGCATAAGCCACCGCACCAGGCATGGAAGGTTCTTATTTGTCAGAATTACACAAAATATTCAATGGTAAAAGGGTGTCATATTGGCAACTTATCCTCATAGTTCAGGGGAAAAACTATTTTTAATATTTCAGCAAGTTTTCTGTAAATTTAAAATTGTATTAAAATAGAAAAATAAAACTTCACTGGGAAATAGAAAAGACAATTTTAATAAGCATAGAAACCATATTTCTGGAATGGGAAGACTATATATGGCAAAAATATAACCTCTTCAAAATAAATTCTATAAAAATCAATGCACTTCAAATAAAATTCCACTAGCAATTTAAATTCATTCTAAACTTCCTGAAAGCAGAAGGGTAAAATAGCCAGTGAAATACTGAAAACCAAAGATCACAGGGAGGAATTGGTATTGCAAAACATTTAAATTTATTTCAAAGTTATAATCATTGTAAGAACATGGGTCTTATACTAGTCTGCAAAATAGAAAAATTGAACAGAATAAAAGGCAACTCAAATGTGTCAAGTACAAAAATGGCATTTGAAATCAGAAAGCAAAGGATAAGTTACTTCATTAGAATCACTGGTTAACAATTTGGGGGAGGGGGAATTTAACTATGTACCTAATACTACATAGAAAATAAATTTCATATACATAAAAGTTTAAACACAAATAATATAAGTCTCTAAAAGTAACACAGAAATGTAACTCAATACTTCTAAAATTTTGGGGTACAAAAGGACTTTCTAAATGACTCCAAAGGCAGAAAGAAAAAGAAAGATACAGGTAGAATTGTGTATATATATGTTTAAAATATTTGTGCATCAAAAAGTAAGCAAAGGTAAAATATTTGTGATAAAATTAGCAGCTGGGGCCAGGCACAATGACTTACAACTGTAATTCCAGTGCTCTGGAAGGCCAAAGTGGGAGGATTGCTTATTGACTAGTCTGGGCAACATAGTGTGACTCCTTTCAATAAACAATTTTTTTTAAATCAGCAAAGGCTTAGTAACCTTACTATTGAAAAAGCATTATATATCAATTAGAAAAAATACTGTAAAAAAGAACAGCAAGGAATAATTCACATAAGAAGAAATATACATGGTCAAAAAACATATGAAAATTAATGTTTAACTTCATTAGAAAATGCAAATTACAAAATGTCATTTCACCCAAAACATTATTTATAATAAGAAGAAAGTGGAAATAAACAAATTCTGAAAATACAAAAACTATTACATATAATATTGTGGTGGGCAGAAATATAAGATGGCTACCAAGATTCCCTGTCCCTAGTGTACATATCCTGCATAATCCTGGAAACTATCAATGTGATGGATTGCACTCTCCTAATTAGATTATGTTATCTGACACAGTTGACCTTAAGCCGGGGGAGATTATTCTGTGTGCCTGCCCTAACCATATAAGCCCTTTAAAGTGAACAGTTCTCTCCAGCAGATCACAGAAAAGGAAGTCAAAGATTCAAAACACAATAAAAATTCAATGCACCAATGCTGGCTTGAAGATAGAGGGGCCACATGGCAGAGAAGGCAGGTGGCTTCAGCTGCTAAGAATAGGAAGCCAGCAAGGAAACCAGGACCTCAGTTCTACACACTTAAGGAACTTAATTCTGCTACCAAGAATGAGCTTGAAAGCAATTCTTCTCAGAGCCTCCAGAGAACTCAGCCCAGCTGACACTTTGATTTTGCCCTTGTGAGACCCTGAGCAGGGAACTCAGTCATATCATGCAAGACTTCTGACCTACAGAACTGTGGGCTAATAATTGAGTATTGTTTTAAGGTGCTAAATTTGTAGTAATTTGTTACACATCAATAGAACACTAATACAAATATATTCATATAAACTACTTGATAGTAACTAAATTTTGTATTTTCACTAAAAGTGCAAAAAATGGAAAATGTTCATGATATAATATTCAGTGTGTATTTATTTATTTAGTTATTTATTTTAGAGACGGAGTCTCACTCTGTCACCCTGGCTGGAGTGCAATGGCACGATCTCAGCTCACTGCAACCTCTGCCTCCCAGGTTCAAACAATTCTCTTGCCTCAGCCTCCTGAGTAGCTGGGACTAGAGGTGCGTGCCACCACGCCTGGCTAATTTTTTTGTATTTTAGTAGAGACGGGGTTTCATCGTGTTGCCCAGGCTGATCTCGAACCCCTGAGCTGAGGCAATCCACCCGCCTCGGCCTCCCAAACTGCTAGGATTACAGGCGTGAGCCACCGTGCCCAGCCATATTCAGTGTTTTAAAAGGGAAACAATCCCAAATATATTGTATGATCACCATTTTCTTTAATATATATGCACCATAGGAAAATCACATGGAAATACATATGGCACCAGAGGTAATATCTATATAGTAAAAGGACTGAGCATTTTAAATGGCTCCCTTGTACTTCTCTGATCAAATTTTTCCAAATGAAGGTATATTACTTTCACTAGCAGAAATAAAATCAACAATACTCCAAGAACTACCAAAAACAAAGCATCTGGTTTTGAAGGGTGGCAGAAGTATTTCAGCTAGTTCATCAATAAGATGGAAAAGAACACTTAGACGGTATCTTTCTACTAATGTTACAAATTAAACTCTGTTATAGAATAAAAATACATAAACACAAGTCAAACACAATGGGACTGTTGTGCCTCTGACCACATCAGGGCCATCCCAGATGTGACATTAATTCTGAAGCCTGCGCCTGCCCAATTTGGCAGCCAAGCAGCTGCCGTGAATGAACTTTGGAAATGCTACAATATTAGCCTTCACTGCTAATCCTGCTAATGCACTCACAATCTATTTGACAGCCTGCCCATCACATCCCCACTGTCAGGGCGAGCAGCCTTTGGAGGTGACTGTGATGAGAGGATTACTGAAAGAACACCCCAGGGTACAGAGTGGCCCTCTATCCATTGCATTCTGACTAGTGCTGTAGATAGGCCACATACCACAGAGGGCACTGGACAGAAGCCTGTCTTCCATACACCCCCTTGGCACACAGGTACCAGAGGGAGAAGGTCACCAACCCAAAGGGATGGTGGTTTTCAAAGAGCCATGCCATGCCTCCAGTCTCATCATGCAGAAAGAAAGTAAGGCCACTTGAAGGAAAAATTCACAGGCCAGAGGGCCCTGGATCATTCCTTACTAGCAGAGCTCTCCTCTCTAGAAGCCCTACTTGCTACAGAAAAGTGAAAAAAGGTTCTGGCCCCTTGGGATGAGTCAAAGGATGCCCCTCCCCCTCCTTTCCCTCTAGCTACCAGGTTCCTCAGGGAGTGGTTGACACTCCATAAAAGCTGCATTTACAGCTTTGACTTCATTAAACTAGCAGGATTGCTTTATTTGCCTTCTAAATTTTCAGGACTTTTATTTAAAATGTTTCATCCTAAACAGAATAAAATGGAAATAAAAGGTGCAGCCTTCATCGCATCTTATAATTATTTGGAAAAGCAATCTAGGATGTCCTAGAGCAAAGCTTTTGTTCGCACTTCCAAAAATGTCCCTTCTGGGCAGCCCCTTCATGCTGGCTGCCGTCAGGGCTACCAGTAGATTGTTCTTTTTACTCCAGTTTTAAACACACAGTTCTCATTCTCAACCTAATGATCAGAAGCATGTTTTTCCCAGGAGCACAATTAACCAGTCACCCCTCTTTACCTTGAAGTTTCCTCATTTCTGTAATTGGACCAAGGCTGTTCTCCTCCAAAGTCCGGCTTAGCTAGGAACACCTTCTCAAGCTCAGGTGCCACAAAAGGCACAGGGAATGCTGAGATAAGCAGAATTGGCTCATGTCCTCAAGGAGCCTGCAGTCTATAAGCAGATATTTGTAATATAGCATCAGAAATGTTAAGTCACAGCTTTTATAGAAGTACATTGGAGAAGTCCCTGGACCAGACTGAGAAGGTAAAAAAGTTTCAGGCTGCATCCTGAAAAAGTCTGGTCTGGGTGACACTATATGCTGACTGCCTTCTTCAGCTATATTTCAGCCATACTGATCATACGGATCATTAGTATAAGGAACCTGGCTAAAGAAGAAACTCTGAAGGGCAATGGAAAGTCTAAGCCATGTCCCATCAAGACGGCAACCTGAAACCCATCTGAGGCCTCACTGCCACCTCTGTTAGCCCTTGACATTCCCAGCTGAGGTGCTCCAACATTTTTCAGGTTCACAAGCTCATACTCCAGCTAGTGAAAGGAACAGAAATGCAGTATAACATCATAAACACTATGCCACCCTCTCAAACAAGCATCATCCTCTTCTGAAGAAAGACAAGCATGAGGTCCCTAGTGCAGGCAGGGGTTGGCCACATTTCTGCTCTCTTCCTTCTCCCAGGATGGGCTCCCTCCTGAATGAGACACCCCGGAAGGCTACCCTGTGAAGCAGGAGGAAGACTTCCACTTTGTGCTTGGACTTCCGCTTTCATCCTTCCTGTGCCAGCACTCAGAGCACCTGGTGAGGCAAAGCTTTCTCAGCCCAGGACCTCTTAGCTGCTTTCTTCCTCACCAGCAGGAGGTCAGAGCCCAGCACTCCTCATTTGTCAGGCCAGGGCCTCCCCTCAATGAATCTCAGTTACAGGGAGGCAGTACAGGGTCCTGGGAGCCCATGGATTTTGGAGTCTGAAGAATCTGGATTTGAAGGCTGGTTCTATGATTTACTAACTTTGTTATCTTGTACAAAAATGTACTTCTGAGCCTCAGTTTCCTCATTTAAAAAAATGGGAATATTTGTGATTGCAAATCTCTTGGCACAATGTTTCAGATATGGTAAGGATTCAACAAATGGTAGCTATATAGAATATCCCCTCCCCATAGGTCTGCATTCTATAATAAACATCATCTCTTACTAAGGAAGGAAGGAAGGATTCTCATGAGAAAGTGAGGGACTCTAGGCTCCTTGGAAAGCAGCTAAGGAGAGCTCAAGTGAGAGGTGGGTGGTTGGTTCTCAAAGGGTGAAACTCTCGCACGTATTTCTGAAATCAAGGTGAGACAGTTTTGTTCATGATCCAGATGCAGATGCATGCCTCCTATGCCAGGGGTAAGTGGACCCCTAGGGCCAAAGGAGGCACCAAGCCAAAGCCAGCTGTGCACCCATCTCTCTTTGCTATGTGTCTGCAGGAGGGTGGGTTGGGGGGGGGCGGCGGTGTTCCAAGCACCTCGATGGACCTGGTGTCAGTCAGGTAGGCCTAGGACAATCATTCTTAGTGAAAAATAATAAAACCAACAAACTGAAAAGGGCAGAATGGATTTTTTCCCCTGGGCTCCTCAGAGGTTATATTAGCAGCTCTGAAGATTCTTTCTTGGTCACTGATATTCAGGCGCCATGCCTTTCTGGCCTGTACACATTATGCTGCTCAGAATAATTTATATAGCAGGGAAATAAGTCGATATTAGAGATTCAAAGAAAACTCTAGACATTTTACATTTTTTCCTGTCAGTCAAAAATATATTTAGCAACTAATTGTGAGAGGACCTAACAACCACAGCTAAAATACCTGTAATACTTAGTTTTGGCTCACTCCCTAATTTCAAACTCTGATGATTATGAATAGAAGACAAAATCTGCGGGGATTGTGTGTGTGTGTCAGTTCTGAGCCACATCTAAGAACCAGTCTACAGATGGAAGGAGAGTTCCTGCCCACCACGGGGGTGGTACAGGGTTCCTTGTCTCATACAGATAACCTTATGTGAAAATTCCCATTTTAACACACCAACAAGGTCGGTGTGGCCTAACTACCACTGAGCTCTCTTCCCCTGAAATTAGAAATGAGTGCAATTTCTTTTGTTTCTCTAGAAACAAATATTTACAATTCAAACCTTTATGTTCAGTATTTCAAAATTTTTGTTTTTGCAATTGTTCTTACTTTGAAAGCAGTTGATTTGGTTTTATTCTGTTTCTGGATCAAGTCAGAATATCCACACACTTCAGCATATTCCTAAACGTGAGATTGATTTACTGATTACAGCTATTTTAATCCAGGGATGTCTACCACACAGTTCTCTAAACTACGTGCAAGGCTTTTTTCTGCCTAAATCTTCATAGGTGACACAACTAGCTCCAGGACAACTAAAAGATCAGAGTATTCAGGAAAGAAAAATAAATTCGGTTCTCACTAATAGCAAAAATGGAGATAGTAAATCTTGGAAATGAAGTCTAAAACTTTTTTAAAACTATCCCACGCAGGTTTTTTTTTTTAATTCTCTTTGCTCTGAGACATTTTTGAAACCAAAAGCAGCTGAAAAACTGGTAGTGTTTGCAGATTATTTTAAAGAATAAATAAAAAGAGGTAAGCCGTCTTTAGCAATGTTATCTATGTTTATGGCACATATTTAAATTTTCTCAGGCAGAAACTGTAGAAGTTAGAAAAGATAGGTGTTTTTATTCTCATTGACAGGTAAGAATTGAGGTCCAGAGATGCTACAGGATTTGACTAAGATGACTGAAGAAAGTTCAGCAATAAAATCTGCACTGAGACCAAGGTTCCCTGCCTCCTAGCTCTGTTTATCCAGGCTATCTACTTAAGTCTTTCCAGACTTACTGAAATCAACTTTATGTCATAACAATATATACCTGGAAAACATAGGGACCGCTCCTCTCAATTTGTATAATGCCCACACTTAGTCCATAATCTGGAATACATAAATCTTAATAAAAATATTAACCAAAAAAAAGTTTTTCCTTTGATAATTATTTCTCCTCCTGATCAAAACTACACTAAGAAATCTAGAGGCACAATTTTAGAAGAGAAAAAAATTCTATCCCCTTAGGAAGTATTTTTACACTGAAAAAAACTAACCTAATATTTTAGGAAAATGTAAATAGATTCCTGAAATTCCACTGCCAAAAATTTAATGAGGCTTACAGTTTTATGGACAAATTTACGTTAAAAACTGTGATCTGAAAATCAAACAAAGGAGTAGGGTGTAAAAGAAAACCATGCCACTAGAATCATTAGATTTTCTCTTTTCATAAACAAAATAATGCAAGACTCTACTGTGTCAAAATTCAACAGATTGCAGCTAATCTACAAATATCAATTGTTCTTTTTTATCCACAGGGAACTTAAATTCCAACATTTGAGATAGATGAAGGTTCTATAATTTTATAATAAGACCATTCCAGGGCATTTTATGTCAACATATAAAAGGATGATTGTGCATTGTGAAACTTAAAATATCACAGTACATTAGAGTGGAAACCCAGGATCATCTAAGAATAACGGGAACATCTTAGATCATCCTATCCCCAGGAAGTAAGAATTTGTGAAGAAATCTACCAATCACTTAGTGTATATTTCTATAAGGCCAGTAATTCTTCACTTATGCAATCAGACAGAGACTCATAAAGCGACAGGTTACCACTTAGCAAAGACTGAGTAGGGAGCCTAGACTTCCATCTTCTTCCAGCTGTAACAGGGCACCCCTCCCTGTCCCACCCAAGTGATGCCTGAGAAGACTGAGTGAACAGTCAAACTTTCACCATCACCCAGAGATAACAAGGCCTTTCACCTACCTCCTAGTAGAAGCCACATGAGGATCAGTAAAAAAGCACCTCTACCCCTCTGAGCATGGGAGGTGTCCCCAAAGGCCTGGAGGGGAGCCTAGACCTTCACCCTGTCACGTAGCAAAGCAGTACGTCCTTCTTCCCAAATGAGCAGCATCAGAGGAGGCCTGCTAAGAAAGATTTAAGCAAAACCCAATCTCATAACATAGTACCCAAAATTCCAAGAAAATGATGGAAAATCAGGTCACACCAAGAACCAGGAAAATCTTAACTTTAAAGAGAAAAGATAATCAACAGACACCAACATCAAGATGACACAGATGCTGGAATTATTGACACAAATTTTAAAGCAGCCAACATAAAAATGCTCCAATTAGCAATTACAAACACTAGAAACAAATTAAAAATATGAAGTCTCAATACGGAAATAGAATATATCAAGAAGAACCACATGGAAATTTAGAATTTAAAAAATTCAATAATTAAAATTTTCTAAAAATCCCAGTGGATAGGCTCAACAACAGAATGGAGGGGACAGAGGGAAGAACCAGTGAACTAGATAATAGAACAATGGAAATTACCCAATCTGAAAAACAGAGAGAAAATAGACTGAAAAAAATGAACAGAGCCTCAGGTACCTGTGGGAAAACAGCATTCTAATATTTGTGTCATTGGAGTCTAAGAAGCAGAGAAGAAAGTGGAGCTGAAAAAGCATTAGAAGAAATAATGACTGGAAAATTTTCAAATATGGAAAAAGGCATAAACCTGCAGATTTAAAAATCTGAGAACATCCTGAGGAGGATAAACTGAGAGAAATCTATACCAAGAACCATCATACTCAAACTTCTGAAAATTGAAGAACTAAAGACAAAGAAAGTAATCTGAAAGCAGCACTGGAAGTCAGGCGTGGTGGCTCATGCCTCTAATCCCAGCACTTTGGGAGGCTGAGGCAGGTGTCAACTGTAGTCAGGAGTTCGAGACAAGCCTGGCCAACATGGTGAAAACACGTTTCTACTAAAAATCCAAAAATTAGCTGGGTATGGTGGCTGGTGCCTGTAATCTCAGCTACTTGGGAGGCTGAGGCAGGAGAATCGCTTGAACCTGGGAGGCAGAGGTTGCAGTGAGCCGAGGTCACACCATTGCACTCCAGCCTGGGTGACAAAAGCCAAACTCCATCTCAAAAAAAGAGGGGAAGGGAGGGAGGGGAGGGGAGAGGAGAGGAGGGTAGCATTGGAAAAATGACGCCTTACGTATAGGAGAAAAACAATTCATATGACAGTGGATTTCTGATTAGCAACCATGGAAGCCAGAAGGAAGTAATAACATTTTTCAAATGCTGAAAGAAAGTAAGTGTCAACCTAGAATTCTTGGTGAAATTAACCTTCAAGAATGAAGGAGCAAAAAGACATACTCAGAAGAAGGAAAACTAAAAGGATTTGTCACCAGCATACCTACCCTAAAAGAATGGCTAAAGAAGATAAGTTCTCAAAACAGGAAATAATAAAAGAAGGAAACTTGGAACATCAAGAAGAAAAAAAGAACAATGGAAAAAGCAAAAACATGGTGAAATTCAATAAACTTTACCTTTCCTCTTGATTTCTCTAAATTACTTTGATGGTCAAAGCAAAAACTTAGCATTGTGTAATGTGGATCTCAATGTATGTAGAAGAAATATTTAAGGCCAATGTGCCATAAACAGGGAGGATAAAGGAGCTTAAAGGGAGGTCAGGTTTTTACACTTTTCTCAAACTGTTAAAATGTTTTAACTAGTGAAATAGTTCCATATCTTGATTGTAGTGGTGGTTACAGGAATCTAAACATGTGATAAAATAGCATAACACTACACACACTCATTGTATCAATATCAATTTTCTGGTATGATATTGTACTATCATTATGCAAGATGTAACTAACCACTGAGAGAAATGGAGTGAAGTGTGTATGGAACCACTCTGTAATTTTCTGTAAATCTATAATTATTTCAAAATAAAAAACATTTTTAAAACAGGTGACTGTTCTAGATTAAAAGACACTAAAGACTAATGCAATGTAAGAAGTTTTATTGGTTTCTGATTTTTAAAAATACAAGAGGTTGGAAAATTTGGAGAAACAAATATAGATGGAACATTTGATCATGAAATGATATAAAATTGTTAACTTTCTTTAGTGTCATAATAATGTGGTTATGTAGGATAATGTCTATTTCTAAGAGATATGTGCTGAAATATTTAGGGATGAAATATAATGAAGTGTGGAACTGACTTTCAAATGATTCAGAGAGAAAGACAGAGAGGGAAACAAATAGAATAAAACATTGTCAATTGTTGACTCTATGAGGATAATCTGAGGGTGTGTTTTGTACTATTCTTTCTATTATTCTGTATGTTTGCAAATTTTCATTTTTAAAAATGTTGGAAGGATAGATTGATGGATGACTGTGAGAAAGCAAGTATAGTAAAAGACCAATTGTGAAATCTAGGTGGTAATTGGCTGAAACATTTTCAAATATGAAAAAAGGCATAAACCTACAGACTAAGAATCTGAGAAAACCCCAAGGAGGATAAACTCAAAGAAATCCATTCTATGGATGCTCACTATAAAATTATTTCAATTTTTCTATATGCTTGGAAATTTTCAAATTAAAACATTTGGGGGTAAAGCTGAAGGAATGTATTACAACTGAATGCTTTCCCCAGCACTTCCAATCCTCCTTGGCCCAGTTAAATACACACTTATGACAATTAAAATAAAACTTATCCTTTGCTAGGGGCAAAAGCTTGCCCAGCTTTCTGGCTGGAAAAGCCCTAGCAATGTTTCATACTTTTCCCACAGAGGTAAAGCCCCAGCCCCTGCCATTGTCCCAACTGCCACGCTGAATTCCCAAGAGCACTACTGACTGTCATGGAGAGACAAATGTAACCATGGTCAGGGTGAACTCAAGGATAAGCTGGTCTTCCATGCAGCCACCGAAAATCCAAAGGAAGCAATGCCTCAGGTGAGCAGCCAAGGCCCAGGAGTGGTGAGAAGGGTGGTGAGGGTAAAGAGCCTAATGAATTTTGTGGGACATATAAACTGGGATCTTGGTCAGGTGTGACCGAAGTTGCTGTATTTATTATATTATTAAAAAGGTAAGTGATGTTACTGATTGAGACTTTAAGCTAAGTAAACATATTAAACATTCAAGAGTAAGCACTAAAGAAATTAAGCGAAAGCTTATCATTTTATTCAGAGGAAGTCAGAAAAGGGGCATTAAAACAGTTGGACAACTAGAAACATAAAGTGAGATGGTAGAAGATAACAGCAATATAGACATCACAATAAATGTAAATAGCTTAAACAGTCATACATGTATATGTGTGTACATATATATAATTTTTGTATATATGTATATATAATTTATATATCTTTGATGGAACTACAATAAGAAAATGACAGTTCCACCATCACGGCGGGAGTTTTTAATACACACTAAAGTGTCAGTTAGGAATTAACAGGTAAAGAAATCAAGACATTAAAGATTCTGGATATTAGTCCTTTGTCAGATGAGTAGGTTGCGAAAATTTTCTCCCATTTTGTAGGTTGCCTGTTCACTCTGATGGTAGTTTCTTTTGCTGTGCAGAAGCTCTTTAGTTTAATTAGATTCCATTTGTCAATTTTGGCTTTTGTTGCCATTGCTTTTGGTGTTTTAGACATGAAGTCCTTGCCCATGCCTATGTCCTGAATGGTAATGCCTAGGTTTTCTTCTAGGGTTTTTATGGTTTTAGGTCTAACGTTTAAGTCTTTAATCCATCTTGAATTAATTTTTGTATAAGGTGTAAGGAAGGGATCCAGTTTCAGCTTTCTACATATGGCTAGCCAGTTTTCCCAGCACCATTTATTAAAAAGAATATAGAAGATATGAACATTATAATTAAAAATATGGATCTTATGGATACATAGATCCCTCTGCTAATAATAACTCTTCTAGTATTTCCACCCATCTTAGAGTGTCCATGCTCAACTATTTCAGTGTCCAATGATCTCTCCAACGATAAGGTCATGGAGACTATTCCTTTTGGCTACAGCACAACACATGCTCTGGTCCTTGGCCTACCGTACACCAACAGGGAAATGCTATGTGTACTGTGAGATACCAAAGCAATTCTGAGCTCCGACTGCAAAGACATTCAGTTCTGGACCCAGGTTAATTAAGAAGTGGACCAAATGCCCAAGCAAATTTCAATATTTAAGGCAAAACCCAAATTCTCTGGAAGTTCATTTTCCCCCTCTGGTTGTCAGGAAGCTAAAGAGTCTAGCCATTCCTTCCCCATCTCCACTGGCTTTCTTCCATGCCCCCTATAAAGTTTATCATCTCATGCAACTGTCTACCTACAGGATCCAAGTGGTACCCACTCCTGCAAATGATAGAAAGAAATCCACCCCTTCCCTTGTCATGACAAAAACTCCTTATCTTATCTCACTAGCAAAAAAAGTTGAAACCAAACATTTAAAATGTATTAATTACGCTTTATACATCCCCAGAGACAGCTGTGCTGATGAGAGCCAACTCAGTGTTTGGAAAAGGGAAACAAAAACTTTCAACTCATTCATCCCTCCATCCCATTTTGGGGGGTTAATCCTTTCATATTCTAATCTCTGGAGCTGGAACTAGACTTAGCCAGGAAAAATGACCAAAAAAAATGGCAGCAAATTGCCAGGACTGGGTGACTGGGTGAGAGGACCATTCCTGCAGAAGTCCACATAAAGAACATTGTGTGGCCACTTTTTCTTTAGACTAGGATGCTCTAACACAAGTCAAAGAAAACAAATGGGTCAGGCATGGTGCCTCACGCCTGTAATCCCAGCACTTTGGGAGGCCAAGGTGGGAGGATCACTTGAGACCAGGAGTTCAAGACCAGTCTAAGCAACATAGCAAGAGCTCGTCTCTACACAAAAAAAGTAGAAAAAATTACCAGACGTGGTGGCACACACCTGTAGCCTTGCTACTCAGGAGGCTGAGGTGGGAGGACTGCTTGAGTCGGGGAGGTTGAGGATGCAATGAGTCCTGATCGCACCGCTGCAATCCAGCCTAGGCAACTGAGGGAGAACTTGTTTCAATCAATCAATCATAAGAAAACACAAATCCACAAGGAAGCTTTCACTCTGCAAGCCTGTGTTTAAGCACTTCCCTATCTTTGCAGTCACACTTGCCACATACGTACATAGGCTCCTTCCCCAGCTCCACACCTCAGTCGCCATAGGTTGTTTTTTAACTCCCTGGGTTCCACAAACGTGTGGTGAGTAGCGCTCTGACATAGGGCCATGACACATCATCCCAACCAAACATAACAATTTGTGAACTGATTAATCCATTGCTCCCTACGTCATTGAAAAAAGGCTTTTTGCCGGGGGTTTCAAGAAGTCCACCAGTTCAGTGATATTCTTCCTCTCTCATTTCATTTCAGGATGCCTCTGTTATAATAAAGATGGGGGTGGTATCTCCTGGGAATACAGTAGGTTGGGAGGCAGGCTACGTCAAAATGCTGAGAGGCATTTCTAAGCATCATCATCATCAACATTTACAAGGCCTTCATACATGCCAAAGTTGTTCTACAACACATTAGGGTAGTTTTTGGTTCAAGCAGTGAATACATTATTGGCAAAATGTGTATTACTTTTAACTCTACACAAAGTGAATGAGGTAGGTAGGAAAAGCCCTACCCCCATTATAGGAAGAAAACTGAGGCTAGTGAAGCACAGGGACTTCCCCAAAACTTGTGCTTGTCAGAAAAACCTAGAGCTGGGTCTTCTGGCCCTTCCCCTCAATGAAAGCACAGCTTCGAATTCTTTCTCTGCCACTGACATGAGATTTGTCTCCAACCTAGCATCTCAAGTCCGTAATGAATTTTTCATCTGAAACATATGCCAACTGGGCCCAACTACCAACTGGGCTCTAGAGACGGCCCAGGAAGTCGGGATGAACGGGTGGAGTGGGACACCAGGGCGTTCCACCGGGCTGAAGACCGTCTGAGAGCTCTACCTCAGAGAGGCTGCCCAAAAGAGCTGGGACCGCAGCGAACTTTCTGGCCTTGGGTAGGACCCGCCGCGCCACCCTCGCCAGCTCAGATCCCAGGGGCCTCTGTAGGACCGCGGCGCTGGACTGGGCACTCCAAGTCAAGGGCTCCAGCCCGCATTAGCCAAGCGCCACCCACTTTCTCGTCTGCATTTTCTGCCCACACATACGCCAACGGCTGGATGCGCCCGCCGGGCCAGTGTGCCCCTGAGTTTGTGATCCCCAAAAGCAAAACACTGAACTCCGCGACGATTTCCACGCACCGCCGTCAGCTTCCGGACTCCGGCACCAGCAGCACTGGCCTGCGAGTTCCTTTTGCGCCTGCGCGTGGCGCTTGCGCAGTGGGAGAGGAGGGCGGGGCCGCAGTGGGCGCGGCCATAGTGGGCGCAGAAGTGGGTGGGATGAGTACGCCGCGGCAACTGCTGCCCTGAAACCCCGCGGGCAGGGAGACCACTCTAAACCACTGATTCAAGAAGAGGACGCTGCAGGGCACCGCCCTTCACTCAGGACAGCTGCCAACGCTTCGGGTCTGCGGATCGTGTTAGTGGAGACGAACCGATTCGTGGCGCCTGCCTGGGCCGATTCGCGGGGCGGGGCGGGGCGGGGCTGAGAGGTGTGGATATGTTAGCCCGAGGCGGGGCCCATCTGTGACGTCACGAAGTTACGTAATGGAATGCCTCTGTGGACCTCATTCAAGCCTTGTGTTCCAGCCCGAGGCCTCTGTGACGTCACGGTGTCTGCGGGAGGAGACCATGACGTCACAGAGGCTTCGCGCTCTGAGAGGTGGGACGGGACTCTTTTGAGCCGGCTATGGGGACACCAAGATTCTAGGGGATTTAGGATATCAGGTCCTCAGGTTCTGGGAGCTGAGGTCACGTCAGGGAGTCCCAGAGCATCACATTGCGTCCCTCCCCACAATGTGAGCAGTGAATTCCGCGGCAAGGAAGTACGCGGGAAAACATTTTTTAGTGGGTCCCTAACCCCTAACTACACTCTGGAAATAGGGGGTAGAACCTGAAACACTCTCTCCCAGGAAGAAGCTCCTGCAAGCTGTTCTTTTCCCTGGAAGCACCTGATATCTTACCGGAGACAGCATCTGGCAGTTCCGGGCTGTGCCCAGGGTCTCTGGCACCTTCCGCCCTCCCTGCCCAAGAGGCTGTCCTAGGCCAGATAGCTTCCCCAGCCGTACACAAAAACTTCAGGCCTAGCAGCTTTGAGAAGGGCCCCAGCTGAACTCCACCTGGCCAGCACCATCGGCCTCTTTTTCTCCTGAAAAATAGCCCCAGCAACGCTGAGCGCCACACAGTCACTGGGACCAGCGAAGCTTATTGTGATGGGGGTCTGGAGAGGAGACAAGAGCTGGGACTTTCTAGAGATGCATTGGGGGAAAAATTGGGGCAGGCAAGGAAACCCACCCAACATTTCTGACCCTCTCAATTGCACTTTTTGTGCAACCCACACTGAGTATGAGCAGGAAACTGGGGCACTAGTTTCCAACCACATCAACCAACCACATCACCTGGGAATTGTAGCCTGGATAGGGTCGGATGGCCCACAGGCCCAGCCGGCCTTTCCACCTGTAGTTACTGTTTCTGCACAGTCTATGAATCACTAGAACAAGCTGCAGGGAGACGTGATCTCTGAGTCCACCGGGATAACAGCAAACATCAGTAGAGCAAATAGGGGCATTCTGAGAGGGCCAGGGAGTTGCTGCGCATCATCCTGTCCCACCCTCCATTCCCCATCCCCAATTTAAAATTCTGCACTGGAAATCTGTTATTTTGAGGATGCACACTTGATACTGACATTCAGTTGCAGACCTTGGACTGGGTGGGTTTTCACAGTGCTGGAGGTGGGGTGACCCAAAAAGGATTAACGTGGCTGGCAAACCTCCCCATTTCACCGCATTTGTAGCTTCCTGAGGCCCCGGGAACTGCAGAGGCTCGATCTTCAGGGAGGTGGAATGATGTGTTCTGGGAGGTGGAGGGATGTCAGGGGCTAGGGAAGAGCAGCCATAGACAACCCCAAGGATAGCATCCCAGAAAGAGCCAAGGGACTAGGAAGGGCACCCTGTGTGTGTGTGTGTTCACCCATGCACTCTGGTTGTTTTGGAGCAACCATGGCCCGCAGCCTCCTGGGGCTTCATAAAGAAACCAAGGAAGATTCTGCAGTTGACCCTAGTACAAGCTATGGTCAGGCACAAACCACACCACAACCTGCGTGCGCCGCTTGGGCGCAGACCGTCTACACCACCCGCAAACCTACTGGCTAGCCCCACTTCCACGCACTCAGAGGCCCCAGTTCTCAGGAATGGGGGCATAATCCTGGGCCGCGCGCGACCTTGTGAACTGCTTGGAAGAAGGATTGGGATAGTGCCCAACTAATGAAGATCCCTCAGACCAGACCAGACTCAGCAGCGCCCTGCCCCTCATCCACAGTGGGTCCTGGGGCCAGTCAAGATTTTGGGACCAAACACATAGATGCTTGGTGGTTTCGCGAGGTTGCGGGCAAGACCCCTTGAGGTGCCAAGTCCTGGGCCGCCCCTCCAGGGCTGGCCAGCAGGGGGCAGCGTGGCTCTGAGCGTGGAGGCCAGGGCTGGTCCGCGCCGGCAGGGCCAGCCTCCAGTGCCCAGTTGGGTTCCCGGGCCTCGAAGTTCTAGCCCGCACAGGACTCAGGAGCGTTCCCGGAGGAGGTGGGGATGGGGTGGTGAAAGCCCAGAGCGTTTTAACTTCTGCATCCCCTGCCGCTTTCTCAGCCAGCAGGGCCCGGCTTGAGGCTGGGATTTTTGGTGCCTGCAGCAGGGAAGCTTATAGTCCAGTTGTCATCCGCGGCCGCCGCGCTCCGGGCGCTGAAGCTGGAGAGGCCATCCTGCGCTTGGGAAAGGCCGCGGGCGCCACCGCCTGCGCGGTCCCGCGGTCAGGGCGCTGGAGCTGGGGGGAGCCCCGCCTTGCCCCAAGGAGAAGAGCCCCGGCGGCCTGGCTTCTAACTGTGGGAAAACTAGACACCCCAGGGAAGGTTCAGCTTATGGAAGGCGGACTCGAATTTTTCCTCCTAAGCGTCCCGGGCCTCCCAGGGCGCCCGCCCCCACCATTCCTGACAAGGCTTTAAAATTGTAGGGAATCTTCGCGGGTGCAGAGCCTCGATCCTAGGAGGGGACAAGTCCCAAGCAGAGAATTGTGTCTGAGGGACCCTAAGGGAGGGAGTGATGTTGGTTTGGGGTTCCGGGGAGGCAGCGGTCATTGTGTATTTGCACCCGAGTGTTGAGACCCGGGGAACGGGAAATATTACAGCTCTGAGGCTCTGTGAGGGCGGGTCCTTCCCACCCCAAAGCCAGAGGCCAGGAGGGAGGCCTTCGGTTAGGGTGGGGAAAGACATTCTCTTCTCTTCTTGCACCCTAAGCGATCTCAGCACCCAGAGACGCTGTCTCAGCACCCAGAGACTCTGGGATTTCTCACGGGCGGTTTTCTGCCTTCAGGCTTAGGTTCTTCGTAAACTCACAGCACTTTAGCGGTGAGGAGTGGGAAGGCTGAGACCCTATCCCTGAGGCGGAGGAGAAAAGTAGGAAAATCAATACATGGTGGGGCGGAGGCAGACCTAACCGGGAGAGAGGACGTTGCTCCACACATCTCAGCCCTGTCATCCTAATAAGACGGGGTGGTAGGAGGGGGACACGCTGGCGTCCAGCAGAGAAACCTGGTCCTCTCAAAGAGAGGACCCAACCGGTTTCCTGCGTTTAGGAGGGAAATTACCCATCCTGCAATGCCTGTAAAATAACCGTTTATTTAATAGTTAAAAAAAAAAAAAACTCCAGTGATAAATGTCCGTTACCGATGGTCAGCATAAAGTGCCAATCGCAATATAACGCCCGGCTCTTGGCTGGCTGCTCCCTCGCAGTGTCGCGGCAGCGGAGGCCGGGCCCCCTGCAGACCCCAGGCCCGAGGTCCCCGTCCCGCTCTCCTAGTCCCGGAGCCCACGGCCGCCAGCTGAGCTGCAAGAGCTGGGAGGGGGCTGCCCCGCGGTCCCTAGGGCAGGAGGCTGAAGCAGATACAGGGATTACACTTTTGCAGGCTCCGGGGGTGGGGGCAGGGGCGGGAGGAGGAGGTGGGAGCTGCCAGTGCTAAGGACTTCGTTGCCTCTCCTCTCTCCACTCACTCTCCGCAGTCAGAGTTACAAGCTTATATGGTCAAAGACAAAAATAAAAAAGAAAACGTATAAAATAACAATAGAAAAAGTAATACTTCTGGGAGAGGCGCCGCTGCGGCTCCGCGGAGCTTTCGTTCTTTTTTTAATGCAGTTTCCCTTCCGCCACGTGAGTACCGCCTTTTGGCCAAGAGTTTAGCCGCGTCCTAGGGGAGCAGCAGGGACGGTCGGGGTCGCGGCCCCGGGCGGGGCTCTGAAGTGCCGCGTGCGCCAGGGACCCAGGGGACAATGTTGGAGAGGTGGAAGGTCCCGAGCGAGCGCCTCTCCCGCTGCCCGCCAGAGTCAGGCTTCTGGTCCCTATGGAGGAGAGGGCCGCTGGGCCTAGGGTCCTTGTGACCCACAGGTTCTATTTAGCATTTGATCTTGGAGGTTTTGAGCTCCTTCACCTGTGAGTGTAGCGTCTTGTGGACAGCGAGAGTCCTGGACTGGCAGAATCCTTTCCCACACTCTTGACACTTGAAGGGCTTCTCTTTGGAGTGAATATATCTGAGGGCAGAAACAGAGAGTTCATCCTTGCAAAATGATGCAATGTTATAAACAGTTGCCCAAGATCCCCTCCCACTGCTGTGGGGCACTTGCCCTCAAAGGAAAAGTGTATAGTCAGGTACCAAGTGTGGATGGGACAAAATGTTAATTGGGGATGGAGTGGGGAGGTAAAGGAGATGCTTTAGCAAAGTCTGATCCTTAAACAGGTTCAGCCACCTGTTTAAGGTGCCTTCCTGGTGGGCAGGAGGGGCAAACTTGGCCTCCTTATAAGGTCAACACTGAAGATGAGTAAAGGGAGCTGGGGTCGGACAATTTGCTCGACCTGCGCTGTCGAAGATGGTAGCCGCTAGCATGTGTGCTTATTAAAATTAAAATTACTTAAAATTAAATAAAACTAAATTAGTTTCTCAGACATTTCAAATACTTAACTGTCACATGTGTCACATGTCACACCCCTGAGGATGGAGGAAGTGGGGCAGAGGAAGCTGTGTGCTTGTCTGGAGCTCACGGAGACCTCACTTAATCTTGGGTCCTCTTTATTCCCACATTTCCTGAACCCATGCTCCAAAACCTATCCCTGGATCTCCTAGGCTTTCCTTCTTGATTTTAAAGAATTCCCTGAAGCTCCAGAGGCTTGGAGCCAGTAGGGGGTCTCAAGAACCTCGTTAGGGAGAAAGATGGTGAGGCCAGAGGCAGAGAGCTCTCTCTTGCGCCACCCGCAGTGCCGCACCTGTGGTCTCGCAGGTGGTCTTGCCTCCGGAAGGCTTTGTGGCAGATGTCACAGGTGTAGGGCCGCTCGTCGGTGTGCGTCCGCTCATGGATAAGTAGGTTGTAGGACTTGGTGAAGTGGCGGCCACAGAACTTGCAGACGAATTCCTTCTTGGTCTTGGAAGGCAGACGTCCCCTTGTGGGCTTCTTTTCTGGAGACAGCTTGGTCACGTCGAGGAGGGCACCCAGCCCACCTGCAGGGGAGCCTGGGCCCTCCCCGCGACCGAGCTTGGCCGGATCTTCTTGCGTTGCTGCCAAGGCCAGGTTGGCAAAATCAAAGCGCGGCTTGGTCTTGAGCGCTGGAACGCTGCCTCCAGCGGTGATCTCGGGCTTGGGTTGAATGACATGAGGGAACCAGGGAAAGGCGGGCAGCTGGAAGCGCGCATCCACCAAGCTGGACACCGTGCCCGGCACTTTGGAGAAAGAAGAGCGCGGCAAGTGCATGGCCGGGTAGCCCAGCGTCCACTGATGCAGGTGCACAGCGTGCAACGCGCTGAAACCATACAGGTTGGGCAGATGGTCCGAAGGCACTGTGGGCAGGCCGTTCACTGCCTGAAGGAAGGAGTAGTTGGTGAGCTGCAGGGAAGGGTGGATAGGCACCGGCGCCGGCAAGGTTTTGCTGCCCATTTCGGTAGTTGCAGTGGCTTCTCAATCCGGATCTGCAAAGAAAAGAAGAAGGCAGGGGCGTGGAGAGGAATAAAGAAGTTCAGGGTGGGTCGCCTTCCTCCTGAATTCCAGCCGAGCCACACCCTCTCCTCACACCCAGCGCAGGAGCTAAGAGTCTAAGACCCCATTCCCAAAACCCACTGCCCTCACAAAGAGGGTGGGAATGTAAGACGCAGGGGAGCCCTCTTTTCAGAACCCTCCTTGGTCTAAGGGCTCCCTCCAAATGGCGTCTGGCAGAGCCACACAACTTGATAGAGGGAAGGGCCTACTGTATGCAAGACACTGAGAAAGGAACAAGCAAAGGGAAACTGCCTGTCCTGTAGAAATTGACATCCAGGTAAGCCCGGGTCAACACAGAATCACAATCTCCTGCAAAGATAACAGGAGCTGGGGAACATACTTACACATTTATTTGCAGATAAACACAGAATTGCACACGTGGATTCAGACATTCTGAGGCAGAATTGACAAGGTGCAAAGACTGGGACAACCAATGTTTTATAGTACAACACTGGCTTTAAAAAAATGCAGGAACCCCTGAATCTCACACACACACACACACACACACACACACACACACGGGATCACATTGCACCCATGAAGAGCCTCACAGACAACACACATACACAGGCGCACAAATGCATGCACCTCCTGGCTCCCATTCATTAAGGTCTTCTGGCTGACCTTCGATTTGGCTTCCAGAAGCCCTGTCATCTTTCTCCTCAAAACCCTCAACTTTGACCTTAAATCTGCTTCCCTGCCTTAGTGTAAGTGAAACCTGTTGGCTCCACTCTCTCTGCAGCTGCTTGTGGACTGACTCTCTGCCTTGCCTTAGCCCTCGGGGACCACTTTGCTTTCAAGGAGGTTGCTAATATCCACATTCATTTACTCTGTCAAACAACTGCAGTCACAAACAAGGGGGTGTTAGTGCCCTCACTCCCCCAAAGAAAAAGGGAGCTGAGTCTTTGGGTTGTCAGCATGTTCTTGTGTGTTGTGAGCCCTGGGCAGGTGGGTATGCCTATGGGCAAGAACACTGAGGCCAGGCCTCCATTCCTGTGGTCTATGTACCTCCAAGTGCAAGGTTGGAGAGCTTGAGCAAGGCCAGAGGAAAGCCACACTGAAGTGACCAGGGGTTGGCATCTCCAGACCTCCTTGGCCATGGTCTCCAGCCTCCGTGGAGACATCTGAGCTCTGCAAAATGCTTTTCATCTCTACCTCCCAGACACTCCTAATTTAGATGTGTCCAGTGGAGGAAAGAACAGGGTGAGCAAAGTCTAAACTGTCAGGGAGCCTTGGGAAGCCCAAGCACTGAACTCCTGGCTCTTAGCTTGGGGCTACTTAAGAAGTCATTGTCACAGCAGGGTCCGTGGGACTCCCTTCTCTCTTGCCTAGCTTCAATCCCCTGCTGTTGACTTCTTCCTTTACCCTTCATTACTCTCCTCTTCCTAGGTCCTTTCCTCTAACATGGAGCAATTCCCCTTCCCTGGGATGCACTGGCCTCTGCTCTGCTCCCTAGTTTGGCGTGCCCCCTCCCCAGGTTGAGCTGACCCTCAGCCCAGGGCAAGGCCCAGGCATAGACTCCTCTGCCTTTCGCTGCAGCGAGGCTTTCAAAGCCTGGCTCTGTCCAGGGATGTGCAGTGCCTTTTCCCAGGAGGTATGAGGGCAATGTTGACCCAGGAAAACCTTTTCTCCTGGAAGCTGGCACGGGGGCCACTGGCTGTGTGGTGGGACCTAAGGAAAGAGGCCTTCCTGGGAATGGGGTGTAAAAACACCACGAGCTGGCCGTGATTTGCCTGCGCAGTTTAAATTAGCACTCGGATAAAAACCGTTGCAATGAATTTAGCCTCAGGGCAAGAGGAGGCATATTATCTGCGTGATCTGGCCTCTGAAGCAGAGCGCTGGTGCCGCTGGCAGCGCCGTGGCTTCAGCAACGGTCATCTCTACTGCGCCAAGCTCGGGTCGTGCCCGGGACAAATTGAGACTATCCCAGAGCTCGGACACAAGGAGAAGTAAATTTCAAATTGGGCCAGAGAGGAAGCTGAGACCCATTTGGGTTGGGGAAGGGGAAGGAGGAGAAGCCTGTCTAACTTCAAAGGTCGGCCTGGACTTAGGAGGGATGAGCGCTCTTTGAATTGCTGTCACCTCTTCTTCCCTTCCAGGCGCTGGAAATCAGATCCTTATCTCCGGGTCCCGGACCCCGCTGGGCGCCGCGGAGGCCTCCCCCTGCTCCTCTGGGTGCTTGGCCTATCCAAGGCCAAGCCAGCGGCCGTGGCTGTGGGACTCTGGCCTGCACACTGTCCCGAACCCGCTCCGTGCCTGGGTGGGAGAAACCACCAACCTCGCTAGGCCTTTCCTCGCCTTCTTCCTTAGAGCCAAGACCGGAGCCGTCTTGGGCTCCGTAGGGGGTGCCGGGAAGGGGGAGTGCTTGCAGCTATAATGGTTCCTGGGAGCCAACCTTTCCGGGCTATCTGCCCGATCTTGTTTTCCCCAACACTACATTTATTTTCTTCCGCGGCCCAGCCCGTTCCTTGTTTTCTGAAGCATTCGGAAGCCAGTGCTCCCCAGGCTCCCGCCAACGACTTTCCCCAGGACGAAATTCATTCGAAACGTGGCTCTTTACACTAGTATCAAGAATGGGCCGAAAGCACGATCCGGTTTCAGGAGGTCGGTTAAGAGAAAAACACAGTCTCACCCTAGCCTCTCCAGCCAGAAAGGATGAGTGAGCCCCCGGCTCCTCCGGCTCCGGTTTCCCAGACCGCGGAACCCCAGGGCGAATACTTTCGATCTTTAAACACAGGATGGAAAACCCTTCCCCAGGCTAGGCACCCATTCCTCAAACAGCTTGGGCCTCAGGACCTGCGGGAAAGAATAAGGGGACCCGACCACGCACAGCAGACGCAATTCGCGCTCGGGATCCCGAGTCCCTGCGCAGTGCGGGCACTCGCGTCCCTCGCGCGGTGGAGCGCCAATCCCAGGTCTGCGGCCAGTCCTATGCTGGGCATTAATGAAGTGTGCAGAGTCTATTAAAGTGGTTTATTCGGGGCTAATTGAGCGTGAGCAAGTTAACTGCTTGCATTAATGAGAACGGGAGCGAACTCCACGAGTTTGCGCCTGGGGGAGCCCAGCAGCAACCCAAGAAAATCAGCCTTGACATCGAATCTCCAACGAGTGGTGACAGGCGTCCGGACCCCCGTGAAGAGGACTGACCGGCACCGGATACTTCTATAGCATTCTCCCAACAAACGAGATCTAACGAACCCATTGGCAAGGCGGTCATCCGGCTGCACTTAAATGTCCGCTGCGTCCTCGGTGATCCATTCCCCAATCTTAATAAAACAGCAATTACCTCGAGGAGCCTGGGATGGAACATCTACACGCCGCCGGTCGCTGCTAGTCCCCTCCAGCGCTTCTCTTCCCTAGGGGGTTGTGAACCTGGGACACCTAGCCTTGCACGTGGTTTTGTTCCGCAGAGCCAATGCGCAGCTCTTAGCCTGGGTGAAATTTACCAAATTGTGGCAACAAAGAAACCCTTGCGGCTACTTTACACATTGAGAACCCAACCCGCTACTGCCTGAGCTGCTGAAAAAGGACTAAACGTGGTTTTTCATTCTTCTCCGAGACATTTCCGAGGAGAAATTAGTTCAGCAGGCAGCCCTTCACCCCTTTCCCCCTTCTTTCTCTCCTGACGGCTGGATTAGCGGACAGTCAGGGGAGTAACAGAACTTTTCCTGTCCCCAGCCCGGAGACCCTAGGGCTCCACAGAGTTTCCACTAGTGCTGTGTGTGGGTCTCGAATTGGAAAGCAGTGCTTGCGCCCACTGCATTGCCTCCCTGCACCAGGACAATCAAGGGTTCCGCTCCAGGCCTTGACGACACAGAGCAATCATCCTATGGAGAATATCCCTAAGTTAGAGCGCGAGTGCAAGGCGGGGTTCAGACTCGCAGCCCTGCGCTCTCGGGTCTAGGCGGCCTCATACTAGAGCGCAACTCCTCAAAAGACAAACTTGAACGAAAGCGCTACCGAGCTGGGGCATGCACCTGTCCCTGGCGCGGTCGGCTGCGGCTGTGGCCATTCACTCCCTCTCCCTTCCTTCTTCGTCAACCTGGGCGTCAGCCAGAGCTAGGAGCGCGTCTCAGGAAAGTTTGTGCCCGCTGAAGTTGCTCTGGTTTCTTAAAGGGGGCCCACAGATTGACTTTCAAAGTCCGTGGGCACCTCGCCCGTGATTCCGCAGAGCCGGGCGGGCTGGCCGCAGTAGCGGAGGCCCGCCCCCCTTAATCCCCAGCGGTCAGAGGCCGAGGACCCCGCGCAGGAAGTCCTGAGGCAGCACCCCCAACCACCCTGCTCTCACTTTCACAAAAGTCCTACAGCATTCGTTTGGCAAGAGCTTCCTTCAGGGGCATTGAGAGAGAGGAGGCACCCGCCGAGCAGTGACAAGGAACCTGGGAGTCCTGCCCGCATTCGCTTTGCTGAGCCCAGGCGCCCAGGACTGCAATTACCTTGTTCCGCAGAGGTCCTGGGGCTGAGCACGTCTCTGGGGCTTTAGCTGAAGGGGACTGGGGAAGCCGGAGGCCCTGGAGCCCACAGGCGCCCCTGGAGCTCTAGTGTCCCGACTCCTCTCCTGCCGCGGGGACTCCAAGCGCCGGACACGCGGGAGCGAGCGCTCAGCAGCCCCGGATCCTGCACGCCGGGGACGGTGAGCCTCGCTCGCGGCTCCCTCGCTGGGTCTGAACCAGGAGCAGCTGAGAACGTGCCGGGGAGAGGCCGAGCTCCGACTCACTCATCCCTTAGCACCGAGCCGCCTACTTATTTTAATCCACCACCCTCCCTCCTCCACCACCCCCACCCCCGCCCCTTGCCTCAGGATTCCTCCCCTCCCTCCCCTGCCCCCCAACCCTGCCCTGCGCCTGCGCAATGAAAGACAAAGTTTTTGCTGACCCGGGCAGCAGACTTTGGCAGCTGCTCTCGCTTGGACCCGGCCTCTCCCAACCTGCGTCCCCTCCTCTTCAGTCCCGCGCGACCCCTGCTGCCTTTTTAGGTCCAGAGCGGCACGCCTGGCGCACTGGAGGAAACGGTCCCTAGCAGATGAGAGCGGGCTGGCACCGCACGTTTCGAGGTCCTATACTTGGGCTCCTAGGACACAGCCCGTGCTCTTTGGGAGGAGGGAGGGAGGGGCAGTAGCTCTGTGCACCGGGATCCCCACACCGCGGCTTGGGTTTCAACGCACTTTGGCGCCTGACAGAGTCGCATCTCCTCCCAGAATCTCTTTCCAGAGGCGGCAGACCCCGAGTGTGGAGCAGCTCCTGGCTATCCAAGCGTGCTCGGGGCCAGGGTGTTAACCCAGGCAGCGCTGGTTAATTCCTGGTGCGGGAGGGCCAGGGTCACCGAAGCAAGCGAGCTGTAACATCTGAGTGCTTATGGTTGACCCCAGACCCTAAGTTCTGGAGTCCAGTAGAAAGAACAAAGAGTAGGGAAAGGAGGTCAGGAAAGTTATTTTCCTGGGGCCCAGAACTCTCTGAGATTTCACCCCAATGCACAGTGGCACTCTCTACTTACATATTTGTTTTAGGATGGATCAGAGTTTAGAGAGCCGCACTGGCAAGCTAGACGAGCTGCAAAGTTGTCAGTTCCAGGGCCTCTGAGTCAAGGAGCTGGTTCAGGTGGAGTTTTTAATCGGAAAGGAATCAGAGTTCTGGACATTAAAAATTCTATCTTCATTGCCTAGGCATTATGGAGGGTACCATCACCCCCTTGACTACCCATCTCTGAAAGCTGACCTCCGGCTGACCCCAGCCCAATCCCTCCCTAATGCCTTTCTGGAATACCCTTCCAGGCCTTGGGTTTGGCAAGGAGGAGTCACTGGTTTCCTGGGACTTGTGTGGGTCCAGATCACACAACTGCACTCTCTGCCTTTGCCCCAGAGTTGCTGCTGAGTGACTCTTGGAGCTGGATCCTAGATTCCGTGGGTCCCTAAGTACTGTACTGCTTCTCTCCCGAGGAGCTTCTGCTATCTCCAGCTTTGGTTTGCAAAGCTAATCTGATTTTCTTGGGAGGTGAAGAAGGTTGTAATACCTGACCTAGGGAGATGGTAATGAAGACTCCCCTCCCTCAAAGGCATAGTTGAAAGAGGATTTCCTTATATCCCCAGGCCTTTAGAACAGAATCTAGCCTCTAACCCCTGGGTAACTTCGTCTTGTTTGAGGAGGAGTAAGAGGGGGTGCAATCTTTGCTCCAACGAACAGCTTTTACCCAGTGCCTCAGGTTAGTGCAGAAGTAAGAGATTCACATAAGTTTGTCCATGCTCCTGGAATCTTAGCAGTTGCTAGGATGTAGTGACATTCTTGCTAGAGTAAGAACCCTTGGAAGAGAAGAGAGCTGAGATCACACCTCCTTCCTAGAGATTCCAGAACAGAAAGCTTCAAGGGCAAGGAAAGGCCTGGAGGGAAAGTCTACACAGGGCAATGCTGAACTTTGCTGGCTTCCACCTTGGGCACAGGGAGTGTGCTTGTTCCAGCCTCAGGCTCTCCAAATAAGCAAAGCTTGGGTAACCTCCATTACCAGCAGCAAAAGTTAAGAAGTAAAAAAAATGCCCACACGATAGGGCCTCTGGCTGTCCAGATCACTTAGGAATAGTGGCTGGTCATTCAGGTGGGATGGAACCTCCTGGGGTGTAAATACCCAAACTCCTGCTATGCACCCCTCATAACTCAGCTGGGCTTCTTTTATGTTTCTCCTTGTCTTTCTTTTCTAAAACAGGGCCCTTGGCCAATATGCCTCAGAACTTCCAGAAAGCCCTAAGTAGTAGGATCCCTAAAGAGCTCTCGGAGAGAAAGTGTTCCTGATCTTAAAGAAGAAACATGCAACCGAGTTGTTTCACCACTGCTTTGCCAGATTATCTTGAAAACTGATCCTGACTCAGGTCTCTAGAACTTAGTAGATGTAGAGCAGGTTGTAGAGCAGATGTAGAGTAGATGGAAGCAAGGTTGGTGTTGGTCCCCCAGGCTGTGCCTCCCAGAGAAATCATGACCACCTCTGCCTGGAGCTGGTCAGCAAGGCCACAACAGGACAAGGCCAGAGTGCACCTGAGTGCTAGTGACGATGGCTCTCCACAAGGGCTCACCTGTTTCAGAAGCCTGGCTTCAGAGAGGCGTCTCCTAGGTCGCTGACAATGCACAGCCTCAGAAAGCCAGGATAACGAAATTCAAGAATTGCTAGGAGCTGAAAAGTCCTCCATCCCGCTCTGAGCTCCCAAGGGGGTGACCCCCAAACCCTAGCCTTGACCTCCACAGGAGGCCAACCAAAGTCTGGGTTCCTTCTGGGCGGGGCAGGCAGGAAGAAGCCCAGGAAGCTAAGAATCCCTCCGGCCGTTCGGTGCTGCGGTATCCCATCCCCCGCCTGTTTAAGAGAAATTGATCACGTTAAGCGGGCCCTGCGTCGCTGCGCAGTGCCCGGACTACCGCTTGGATGGATTGACAAGGGAAGGACGCAGGACACCTAAGAGCAACAAGGGTACTTTTTAAGCGAGGTTACATGTGTTTAGGACTCGCGAGGACGTCACGTTTCGAATTTGGTAAAAGTCCTCGGTAGCTAGGACCCAACAGTTCTGCCCTCCTGGAAACCCAATGAAGGTGACAAAACTCCCATCTCATTACTGGGAGTCCAGCGCACTCCGCCACCGCGGCTGCAGCTTCTGCTAGCTCGGAGCCTGCGGACTCCAGCCGGCGCGAACTCCGCCGCGACTCTTTCTGGCTCTCTCGCTCACTGCCTTCGGGGCGGAACCGCGGGCGCCGGAGTGGTCCCAGACTCGGCTGGGACCGGGCAGCCTAGAAGAAGGGTCCCCTCAGTAGAGACCAGGCCTCCAGCTCTCCGTCCGGCGCTCCGCTCCACAACCCGCCAGTCGATGTGAGGTCCGTCAAGGGAGCGATCCCTCCGTCTGCCCGGGCTTCCGGGCTGTGGACCGCACTGAACCCAGTCCCGCAGCAAGCCCTGCTGCCGCCTTTTCCTGGGCACGCCTGCGGTGGTGACGGCCCGCTGCTCATGTCTCCACGCCAAACCCCAGCCCCTCTCCCGATTCCTGCTCCTTGGTAAAGCGCCCCAGCCTGTCTTCGGAGTGAAAATTGAGCAGCTTCCAGAAAATTAACTAGAATGTGGTCTATATTGCTTTGAGTTGTTTTGGATTCAAAAAAAAATGAACCCCACCTCTCCGCACCCCATAGCCTAAAAAAAAAAAAAAAAGTCCTCATTTTTTCAAATGAAGTTTGCTCAGCACTTGCGAATTTTTGCTTCCAACGCAACTACTTCCTGTAACTACTTTGCAGACAATTGGGGGTCTGCTCGTTAGAAACCCCCTTACGCATGTACAGGGCTTTCAAATAACCTGGAGATTTAGGCGTCCCTCTGTATTCATTTAGATGATGGATAGTAATGGCTCAATAGTTCCTCTGGAACCATTACGGTCAATCAGGTCAAAATCCAGCTTGGGGGTGGGAAGGATTTTTAAGCACGGGAGGTAGGTAACAGGACTCCTGCGCACATTTGTTCAGATAACACCTCTGATAACGTAATGCAATCCAGGGTCCTTAAGAGAACAGATGCCAGGTGAACGCAAGAGCGGGTGTTTTTTGTTGTGACAGCGACAGACAAGTTACAGTATCAAAACTGAAAGGGAAAGTGAACTGTTTTTCCAGGCAGTTCCCGTTTGGTAAGTTCTTTACGGGCACACAAATGTAACTCTTTCACCTTAATAAATGTAACAATACATACACACACACACACACACACACATATACCTTTGGTTTGTAAAAATATGTGTGACATGAAGCATAAATACTAGCATGGAATTGCATGGGCATACGATCATCGGGAAAATGGAATGATGATGTCTTCTGTTGTGAAGATCAAATGTAAAATGTATGTAAAAGACGGCATGGGTTTTTACTTTTTACACAAATTTGAGTTGTCAGACTATTTTAGACACATCCAGATCTATGTACTAAGGTTAATGAACTTTTCCTTTTTCCAAGGTGTAAATAAGTGCATTAGAAACAAGGCAATGTCTAATCAGCCGGGGATGTTGGAGAACAGTAGTTTGAACGGAATTGTGAATAGTTAGGGTGGAATCCTGCAGATAGAGCCACCTACTGCACCCGCGGCGCTGGGTCCTTCCGGGCTGCACCGGCGGCGGGTGGCGCTGGAGGAAGGAGAGTTCGCGGTAATTAAACATTTCCAGACACCGGAGGGTTATTATCTGCAGAGCGATTTCCGGCGATGGGACTCGGAGAGAGTCCGGCTGCGAGGTTTCGAGATTCTGGGACGCAATCCTAAAGAAAACGTGCCCCCTGCTGGCGAGCAAGCCACATCTCGGGACCCCTTCTTGGAAAACTCGCAAACCCACAGTATCCTTATTTCACTTTGCCCAAGAGTATTTTAGTCCTTCAGTTTTTCTTTTCTCAGTTAGAAGTTTGCTGCTACTCATTTAAAAGTACGCACACGCTTACCCTTCCAAAGAGCAAACGGAGGAGGAATTTCTTCTCGCCACGGGGTTTCTGTTTCCCTGCCCCAAACCAGACGTCCTTGCTCTCAGATGGATGAGGGCTTTTGTTTGTTTGTTTGTTTGTTTTTAAATAATCCGAAATTCCTAGCAACTATCTGCCGCCGTTCGCTTCTGGTCCTGGGAAGACGATGAGCAAAGATCTACTGGGACCCCATCCTGCATTTGCAAGCTCGGTCCGCGTGCCCCTCCCGGCACACCCGGAGGTGAGAAGTGCCCTCCGGTGCCTCCGTCCGCAGCCCCTCGTAGGTCTGCACGTCCTGCTTCGGATCCCAAATCCTGGCTTTCTGAAGAAGCGCGGGAAGAAGAGAGAGAGTCTGTTTCCGTGAATCGATTTCCCTGAAACACGTGAGGTTTCCTATCCTCTCCTTCCTCCCAGACCATTAGATTCCAGTTCCTCTGCTGCTTCCTTTTTTTTTTTTTCGGATTTCCGTACAGAATATTCTAGCAGGACCCTCCCTTGTCATCATAGCTCTAGGTATTCAGATAGAGACCTGAAGAGAGAAATCCTAAGAATATACCTATTAACAAGCTCTTTGGTTAATTCTCTGTCTACAGAGGACTATGCCACATTGCATAGAATGAGTTCCTAAAGTGTCAGGTCCACTCATTGGAGCAAAATACCCAGAGAAAACAAGCAAGAAAAGGGCAGAGAGAAAGACAGATTCCCTACCTGCTCCAAGCTCTTAGAGGAAGGCTGTGTCCTCCTGCTGCCCATCACTCACTTTGCTCCTCTGAGGCAGGGCCTCCCACTTCCCTATCCTGAGCTTGCAGTGAGGGGTGGAAAGGGAGTGGACCCAACTTGGACATTCCAAAGAATTACTACATTCACCAACCCTCCCTAAGTGATGCAAAGCCGCGCTGTGCCTCACCTAATGGATGAGTAGAATTACCTACTGAATAGAAGGAGGCCAGGTGCTTCTGCCTCTTTAGTGTTTATACCAGGGGTGCTTCCTGGCTTCAGACTGTCACCCTGAAGAGGTGCTGAGCCCCCAAGGCGGTGGCCCAACTAGAAGGGATGCTATTGCTCCTGGGAACTTGAAAGGCATCCTACTGGATGTGGCTTTAATACCTGGTGTTCCTCTACCAAGTGCAACTTAAACTTAAGCATCAGTTTTGGGGAGATGAGAGGGATGGAAGGATGACAGATTGGAATTGAGAATGTTCCACAAAGGGAATACAGTGAACTGGGAGGGGACCACCCCATCAGCAAAAATAAATAAATACAAATAAATCTTTCCTTCTCTGATTTCTAGGAAGTTAGACTCAGGAGGAGGAGTCATAGAGTCATATTTGTGCATCTGAGTTACATCACAATGTAGTGGGGATTCTGCACACAGCGGAAAACCACAATCCCTTATTTTAGCCACCCTCAAAAGACAGATATTCTTCCTCCATGGTCTAGGCTGGAAGTGGGGGGACACTTGAAATGCCAGTTCCCACCATAACTCTCTTCCTAGGTGACTCCAGGCAAATGAATTTGCTGGTCATATCTCCAATTCCCTACATGAGAACCTTTCCATGGAAAAGAAAAGCATTTGCTGAAACACTTGAAGTAGATACAAAACAAAAAAGAAAATATATATTAGCATATGATTTTCACTTCAAAATGACCAATGGTCGGGTTTAGTATATTTAAGTATTGGTTTTCATATCACATGTCAACAATAAAGAAATGGAGAGAAAACTTAAAACTAAAGTATTATAATCTATCTATTCCAGATAGAGAGTTTCTGGAATCATGACTTCATTTGCCAAAACTTCATTCTGTAACAAACATTTCAGGAGATTATCTAAGGAGGAATAAGCCATGTATCGTAGTCAGGATAGTTCATTCTTAATTTTCAGAGAAGACAGCTGATGGGAGCTGTGCCAGGCTACCAGATCCATACAGATAGGAAAGGAGATTAGTTCTCAGTGCCCAGGGTCCTGCACAGGCAGCAAAGTGACTAGGAGCAGGAGTGCCACTGCAGGATGCCTGGATAGGGCATTTCAGTCTTAGCCAACCTGGTACAAGGGCCACCCACTGAGGAAAGGGAGGGCCGGGCACATACCCCAGTTCAGCTCAAGGGCGGGTCAGTCAGCTAGATCCTGCCTGTGTGGTATTGGAGAGTTAAGTTGTCAGTGGTTTAGGAAGGGGCTTGTCAAAAGTCCTGTGCCACGAGATCACCCGGAGAGTTTGTCAATATGCAGATTCCCGGGCCCCATCCCCAGCACTCTGATTTAGGAGGCCCACAGTGGGCTGGGGAGTTGGCATTTTTAAAAAGCTCCACTGATGACTCTGGCACTAGTGGTCTTTAGAGCACATACATATTGAGAACCATTAGTAAAGAACGATTCTACCCAGTAGGGTCTGGGTCTTGCTAAGGAGAATCCTGAGGATTGAAGTTATTCAGATGTAAAGAAATGGCTCTTTATTAAAGCATTATATACACTTCAGTATGTTTCTTCTTGTAAACCCCTTTTTCTTTATCTATAAGAGATAAGAACCAGACCTGATATTCCTGAAAGGCTTTCTTAGCTCCTAATCTTGAAGACAGCACTGGCTACTAGGGGGCTGAAGGGTGATGTGGGGGCAAGGTGCTTGGGTTTTCTTCCAGTCACATCGTGGAGAGGCTCCCATGCTACCCTCATGTGGATTTATCCTAGTGAGTGGACACCCTAGGTCTTGGAAAAATATCCATGTCAGTTCAAAGAGAAGTCATTTTTGCAGAAGAGCTCCCTTGAAAACACAGAGGAAGAGAAGAGAACCCAGAAGCAAAGCTGCCCTCCAAAAACAGGTCAAACAGAAGCCAAAGGGGGTCTGTAGTTTCAGGCCAGTGGAAGTTACCTTTAGTGCTGGAGAGTTGATTGCATATGTGGAAAGAGGAGGGAAAAGAGGCCTCTAAAGTCACTAGTGGGCTTTTTTTTTTTAAACCCATAGTTTGTTCCATGAGTATCATCAGAAGCTTCAAAGAGAAGGAAGGTGACACCAGCTCAATGAGGAGTCTTTGATTGCTCTTCACCCTGCACATTCCGTATTTTCTCATAGGATTTCCAGTTATTCTCACACAGAAGCAGTCTAGACAGCTGAAGGGACACACTAGGATAGCTGATTATTCTTGTGTCACTTGGGGTCAGGACATTAGGCAGTAGGCAACATGTTTGTTGTTGCTGTTGTTTTTAATGCTTTTATTTTAACAGTACTTCTCAACTTTGTTTTGGTAAAAACTCACTTTACATGTCTATTGGTTTTAACAGTAGCATAAAGTGTTGTATATGAGTTCTGTCAATTTTTGTCACCTATCATATGTGTAGATGAGATCATGTTCGCATGTCTTCTAAAGTGTTTATAAAGATTTCCTTAGGATCAGTGTATATAGGGCTCTGGTTTAAAAGAAATTTCCCATGAACTATGATTTCTGTCACAGAGGAGTCAGGGCTCCTGAGCAAATGTGGCTCTGTTGTGGTTCACCTCCCACAGGAGATGCCATTCTGTTACCCCTGTTTTAAGGAAGCACTGAGGCCCAGGAGTCTTTCTGAGGCTGTGCCTAGGCTCATGAGTGTGGTCCTGGAAGTGGAAGGAAGCCTCAGAGGTCAGTAGTGGGACACAGTTCTTCCAAGGACCCACTCCTCTCCAGAGCCTGGCAGGCCCTGAGACCCAGCATGAGCTTCACGAATCCTCTTAGCAAACTGAAGCATCAAGATAATGATTATTCTTGCTTTATGTCTGAGGAGATTGTGGCTTGGAAATATTACATACTTGTCCCAAAGTCACATAACTAGGTAGTCTGGGGCCAGGGCTTAAACCTAGGTATTTGATTCCAAAACCCAAGCTCATAATGGCAGCACCCTGGTTACTTAGTGTGGTCTTCCAGTGACATCAGCATCACCTGGGAGCCTGCTGGAAATGCAGAAGCCCAGGCCATGTCCCAGTCCTATTCCCTCCTGCTCCCTTAGGTAGGCACATGAATGTTTGCAGTGTACACCATTCGGATCTCCAGGCCCAGGCATTAGCTCTGTTCAGTGTCTTTGCTTTAATCTCAGCTTCTAGAACTGAGAGATAAAGCTACAAAATCATACCAAAAGCCTGTAGACTAAAGTTTAGAAAGATTGCAACACCAAACCGCGGGTGCCCTACAGAACCACAAGCCCTAAATCTGCTGCCTCCTCGGCTTTGGCCTGACAGTAAGCAGTCTGGGCTGGCCAGCAACCTCACGCTGGCCCTTCCACATGGTCACTCCCCTCTCCTGGCACCAGAGCAGGAGCCTGGCACCTCCTAGAAGAAGAGAAAATAACAAAGGGCTTATAGGATCTTCTTTGGTGAGCCATGCATTTACCCAGTAACATACATATTATTGATGATAATTGCACATTAGGAATGCATTGTTCACATGTAATTTTGGCAGAGATAACATGTTTTAATTCAAAAGACATTGAACTATGCAAAGGATTGATCACTCGCAAATCAAAAAGTTATTAAATATACACTCTTATTTGATTACCCAAATCTCTGCCAGCCTCACTGTGGTCATTATAGCATCGCCAGTTGACATTCTACCAACCAAACAGAAGCTAGTTACTGAAAGTGTGCTTCATCTTCTCTTCAGCCTCTGCTCTTTAAAATCAAATGCAGAAGATGCCTAAGTTAAGGCAACATGCTGAGCACATAGCTGTGAAGAGTATTACAGGGCAGCATGAAATCAGGACAGGGTCTTGGCAGTATCATCTGCCCCTTTTGGTGTTGTCTTCCTCTCCAAGAGCCCAAAACTTCCAGCCTGCCCCTGTCTGACACTCTCTTTTACCCTGAGTCAGGGGTGGCAAGTATCACCACATCAAGGGGGATGTGCATTGTAATAGCAGGATCTGGAAAGAATCATGTTTAACCTACAGGCTTGGCATAGGAATGGTGCAATTGCCTCTGTTTTAAAAAGCACAGAATATAAAATGTGGAGGAACCTTAAACATATCATCTTTGACACTCCCATTTTACAGATGAGAAATTTGACCCCGGCAATGTGATTTACCCAGTAACAGCATTGCAACTCAAAGCTGGCTTTCCTGTCATCTGGTGGGTACTCCTTACATTTTGCTCCCTGCTCCTCAATTTTGTGATTTAGATCTTGAAGGAAGAGGTCTTACCAAGGGCCTCCCTTTGTTGCTTGTCTTCAGAGGGAGGACAAAGCTTGCATCAGGCAGTGATGTTCCAGGTACAAAGCCTTTCATAGACCTGCAGGCACACAGCAATAGACAGATACACCCATGCCTGGGCCTGGGGTTTGGATGATTGCTCTTCAGTGTAGCAGCTTTATGAAAACATTAAATGTCATTACTTATTTCTTCATGTCCAAAATGTATACTTCAACATTTTTTCTCTGTAGACAAGTGTCACTTTTACTGCAATCTTCAAGCCAGATGTTCCTGGTATAAGTGGTAACAGCTGCCACACTGGCAGGAGTGTGGCTCCAGCCAAGTCACTTTCCAAAAGGACCCAAAAGCCCTCTCTGTGAGAACACTGACATGACAGAAGAAACCCATACCTGGCCCGCCTCGAGCTGCTCAGGAAACCACTGTGAAGGCTGGAACAGGGGTATTTGGGGAGGGCAGTTTGCCAAACCGCTGGCTGCATTTCCCTCTTCCTCAGTGATGAGCTGGGGTCCTGGGTAGGGAGTGCCGAATCTGCCTCCTTTTCTTCAAGCTTCTTTCAAAGCAGTGTTTGTAGTGCCAGCACCCATTATCCACATCCTCATTGGTCTCAGGACCTAGCCATTGCCCTTGCTTTCTGTCATACTTGCCACAGTCTCTATGATCTTCAGTTGACATTCTATTGTTTTTGAATTTTGCTCAAGTTGCAGCCGCCTGGTAGCATTTATCTTCTCAGTTCCCTTGGGCCTTGGTGAATTCCTCAATAAGGTCCCATCTCAGCATCAGCATTTCCAGAAAACACAGGCACAATTTGCCTTCGTCTTCAGCTAAGGCTGAAGAACTTGATTCAGCCAAAAAATAACTGTTGTCTTTGCAATTTTGGCCCTCTGGCTGAAAGGTCTATTATCCAAGAATGCCATCCTACTGAGTAAGGTTGAATTTATAAGACACATGAATACATGAACAGACACACAAACACACTCTCTCCAAAACATAGCTATGGGTGGCTGCAGCGTGATGCTTTCTCCAAGAGATGGCGAGCTCATTCAAACAAAGTCTTGGCTTCTTCCCATGGGTGTGAGGCCAGCATTTAGTGGGAATAAATCACTTTAGGTTTTGAGTCTGGCTAGGTGTGAACTCAAAGGATGGAAAACCTTTTGGGGATGAGCTTTCCAGAAACCAGTGGCCAGCAGAGGTCACTTGGCCCAGGGCCTCCAGGAGTGGTCCAGCCATTGCCCCTCCATCCAGGATCATGGGCCTCAGCCCTGTAAAGAAGCAGCTTCCTCCCTAGAAAGACCAAGAGGTGGTGGAAAGAGACAGGCTTCTAGTCCATGTCTCTAGAACATGCCTCTCCCCAGCTACTTGTTTTTGGGCAAACAGCTTAACCACCTGAAACTTCAGTTTCCTCATCTGTAAAAACAGGATGAACACAAGTTCTATGGGATTATTGTGATTAATGAACTAACGTTTGTAAAGTTCGTGGCACAAAGGGAATAACTGATAAATCCTATTTTCTTCTGCAGACTAGACTGTGATTTTTATCACTTATTGAGCTGAAGGATCTTTTAGGAGAATTTCCTCCTCAAAATCAGAACCGTTCTCAAGCCTGGTGCTGCAAGTACAATAAGAACAACTGTGCCCATTATTACGCCAGTGTTGCTCAGTTCCAAGTCCACATTTCTACGCTCTGCTGTGTGACACCAGGGCTGGGATCTGCAGGCTAAAGTTTTCCTCTGTCAGATGACTTTCTCTTAGATTTTGCAAATAGGGGCATGGGAGCAGCAACCAGGGGTTGGCCTCTAGCGATGGACTTTCACTTAGCATCGCCAGTTGGTTCCAATCTTCAACTTCTTTCAGCACTCCCAGAACCAATCTCATCATGCCCTAGGAAGGTGCCCTCCCCAGTGGGGCAATAACTGTCCTCAGAGAGCTGAACCTCTACTCCATGGACTTCCTATAGACTTCCTGAGCCACCCAGAAGCAGCAAGGATGTGCTGCCTCCTCAGAGGGCTGAGCCCAGTCCTACAGGGTTCGTCCTCTGAGCTTCTAGATGCTGACACCCACAATCTTTGCCTTTGTTTCCCCACCCTTTCCCTAGTGCTCCCAGTTTGCTTTCTTGGACCAGTTTAACCCATCTTCTATATTAAATTCTCTCTGTTGAAATGCCTAGTGTGGTTTCTGTTGTCCTGACTGGACCCCAACTGATACACAGATCAAGAGTGCCAGTTTTCCTAGACGATCCTCATTCACACTGGCTTTCCTAGGATCTTGTCTTGTTTTTGTCCCAGACGCAATTGTCCTGGTTTCTGTGATAAATTGTAAAGTCGTTTAGTTATAGTTGTTCCCTTTAACAGGCCATGGTTGAAGAACTTTAAGCACCTGACATATTAGACTCCTTACTGCAGATTTCTATAAATTCTCTTTGATTTAGAACCATACTTGTATTCTCTACCTAGGAACAGAGTGTTCCTATTGATTGTTTAAAAAGAGGAAACTTCTTGAACACAGCTGAGTACTGAAGCTACAAAAGCATTGCCCATCCTGTCTTTCTTGTAAATCTACACATTATCCATGAGTTGTTCTCTTTATAGTTGCTTCCCAACCTGACCTTCTAGGGAAGAAATTTCTCCCACTTAGAATGTTTTATATACAGAGACCTTAGTTTTCATTCTGCAAGTTTTTTGTTACACTAAGGTCTTTCTTCCTATGCGATCCTAAAGTGACTAAACCTAAAGGTACTTCGGGATGTTCTCTTTGCCTGGGATGACATGCTCCTTCTCTTCTACCTATTTATACCTTATCCTCCCATCTGCTGAAATACCATTGCCTCCTGGAACTCTCTCCCCAGCTAGTGTCTTCTCCCTCTTATAAGCCTATTTCATGTAATTCTCCAACTCACTTTGGCACTTTACCACTTTCTTATTGGGCTTGGTATCTTTTACAAGGGGGTCTTGTATTTATTATAACTGTAAATGCATCTTTAACTTGTTAATTTGACCAACTGCTCAGTTCCTTTGTAGAACTGTTTGTGCTTTTTCTTTGAATCCCTTGCAGCACTCATCAATCTTTCTTTTTACTCCAATAATTCCAAGCCTCTTTTTTTTAGTCCATTTATGTCCATCCGCCTCCTGTTCCCTTACGTATCCCCCAAGTTCACGAACATACCAGGATCATTTCCACTTCTGTACTTTGGTTCACATTATTTCCTCAGTTCAGAGCATTCCTACCCCTTCACACTACTCATCCTTCCTGAATCATCCTTCAGAAGCTTCCTCTGACACTCCAGGCTGAGCTAAGTCTCCCTTCTCTGTGCCACCATCGTACCTTGTCAGAATCCCTATTATTACATTGCTGCATTACACTAAAACCATCTTTTACATGCCTGGCTCTCCTAGTGGACTTCACAGCACCAAGGATAAATGATGTGTCCTGTGCACCTCAGTTCTCACAGCATGTAATACAATACCTGTCACATCGGAGGAACTTGATAAATGTTTATTGACCTAAACTTAATACATTTTTGCTGAATGATTGAGTGACATTGAGACAGCAATTCTGCGAGCTGCCATTTTTCTACCCTGGACACATATTTATCTCCTCTCTTTCCCTGCCAAAACCCCAAAGATTGCTTCACTACACTGTATAATCTTTCTGTCAGGTCTCTGACACACAAAACACATGTAATCATTCCATTATGAGGCCTGGCACTAAGTTTAAGCTGAGTGTGCAGATTTATTGGATCTTGTACCAGGAAACGAGTGAGGCAGGGGTTTAGAGGGATTTCCCAAGGGGATGTAAAATGTTCATGAGGCCTTGTACTTAGAGGCAATTCTATGCTCCTGTGGGAGCCTCAACTGTCCTTGCAGATTGCATTTCTCCATCTACTTTTGAGATATTCAGGCAGCCTACTGCTGTGGGCTGACAGGTAACAAGCAACCTGTACACTGAACACTCACAGCAGCCCCACTTAATGACGAGAACGCATGCCACTACTGACTTACTGTTTTAGTGCAAAGATGAGCTGCATACAATTTGAACACCTGTTCATTTGAAAATGCATTTGGCACACTGGCTAGTTTGCTTTCCTCATATGCTTGTGAGTTCCTCTTCTTGGAAAAGATAGATATTAGAGGCAGATGACAAGTGTCCAGTGGGTATTCTAACATTCCCCAACTGTTTACCTGTGCCTTTTGCCCCAGGAATGTGTGTTTTCCAAATCTTCTTCAAACTTTAAGGCCCAACTTAAATCCCACCTCCTCTAAAAACCTTCATCAACCATTCAACCACTCTGGCTTTTAGGACCCTTTCTTGAAGCTCTGAAGATGAACGGCTTCCACTGTAATGCTTCATGGAATTGTCTTAAAAGGACAAGTTACTGCAAAGAGTCCTGGGCTGAGATTTACAAAGTTCCCATACTGGGTCCAGGTTCCTTTGTTATGTGGGCTAAATTACTCCAAGTTGTTACATTTTTTTCCTCCAACCACCTTCTTCTTCCCCTTCTGCTCCTCCTTCTCCTCTTTTCTTTCTCCTCATGAATTTTGGAGGGGACACAAATATTCGAACCATAGCATTGCACCCCCAGCCCCCCCAAAATTCATGTACTTCTCACACACAAAATACACTGATTCCATTCCAATAGCCTCAAAAGTCTTAACTCATTCCAGCTCAAAGTCTAAGTTCAAATTCTCATCTAAGTATAATCTAAATCAGATATGGGTGAGATTCAAGGTGTGATTTATCCTGAGGCAAATTTGCCCTCCAGCTGTGAGCCTAGGAAATCAAATAAGTTATGTGCTTCCAAAATACAATTGTGGGACAGGGATAGGGCAGACATTTCCATTCCAAAGGGAGAAACAGGACATAAGAAAGGGGTACCACGTCTCTACCAAATCTAAAACTCAGCAAGGCAAACATTAAATCTTAAGGCTCCAGAATAATCTTCTTTGATTCCATGTTCTACCTTCCAGACACACTAGGGCAGGGGCTGGGTGTCAGAGGTTCCCAGCAGCCCCGCCCCCATGGCCTTATTGGGTGGAGCCCATGCAGCAGCTCACAGGGGTTGGAGTGAGGTGCCTGCAGCTATCCAAGGCTGGCATTGCACACTGGTGGCTCTATAGTTCTGGGGCCATGGAAATGGCCCTGCTCCCATGGCTTCACTAAGCATTGACTTAGTGGAGACTTTCTGTGGTGGCCCCAGCCCCATGACTCTGCTAGGCATTACCCTAGTGATCATTCTCTGTGGTGGCCCTGACTCTGTGGTAGTTCTATGCCTGGGTCCCAAGGCTCTCTGAGGCATCTTTTGCAATTTAGGTAGAGGCAGCCATGCCTCCTTAGCTTGTGTATTCTGCATGCCTGCAGAGTTAGCGTCAGGTGGACACTGCCAAGGATTACCACTTGTGCCTTCTAGAGCAGCAGACGAAGCTGTACCTGGGCTTATTTGAGCCACAGCTGGCATGGTCAAGGAGCACTGTGCTGGAATGCAGGGAGCAGAAACTTGGGGCAGCAAGCCCCAAGGTCCTACAGGAGCACTGAATCCTTTCTCTGAAACCATTCTGCTCTAAAGACCCTAGCACTCTGCGCCTGTGATGGGAGTGGCAGCCTGGAAGATCTCCAATACCTCTTCAAGGTCATTCTTCCATTGTCCTGATTAATAGCACCTGTCTTCTATCTATCTGTACAAATGTCCTCATTAAACAGTTGCTTGGCCACACCCTTGATATTTTCTCCCAGACATGCTTTTATATTCTTTACAATAATATCCAGGCTGAGAATTTTCCAAATGTTTAAGCTCTGTCTTCCTTTTGATTATAAATCCTGTCTTTAATTCATTTCTCTCTTCTTGAATTTTACTCTAAGTGGTCAAGAGAAGAAGTGCAGCACCTTGAACACTTCACTTAGAGATTTCTTTTTGCCAATTATCCTAGTTCATTGCTCTTAAGCTTTGCTTCCACAAAACATTAAGACATGGACACAATTAAGCCAAGTTCCTTGCCATTTTGTAACAAGTGTGACCTTTCTAATAAGATGTTTCCAATAAGATGTCCCCCATTTCCATCTAAAATCTCATCAGAGTAGGCTTTACTGTCTGTATTTCTACCAACGTTCTGATCACGACCACTTAAGTAATCTCTAAGACTGAGGCTCTGTCTATAGCTCTCCTGATCTCCTGAGTCCTCACCAGATTCACCCATTATGGGCCATTTATGGCAACCTAGGATTTTTCTAGCATGCACCATCAAACTCCCCCAGCCTTTACCTATTATGCAGTTCCAAAGCTGCTTTTCCATTTTTAGGTATGTGCTAAAGCAACAACCTGACTTCCCAGCACCTATTTCTGTCTTTGTTTGTGCTGCTATGACAATATACCACAAACTGAGTAATTTATAAACAACATTTATTTCTCACAGTCCTAGAGGCTGGGGAGTCCAAGATCAAGGTATCAGAAAAATCAGTGTCAAGTAAAGGCCATTCTCTGCTCACAAGATGGTGCCATGTTGCTGTATTCTCCAGAGGGGCTAAACACTGTGTCCTCATAAAGCAAAAGGGATGGAAAGCAGAAAAAGGGCCTAACTTTTTTCCTCCAGCCCTTTTATAAGGTTACTAATCCCCCCATGATGGCAGAGCCCTCATGGACTTATTACCTTCTAAAGGTCTGACCTCTTAACACTATTGCATTGAGGATTAAGTTTCAACATAAATTTTGGAGGGGACACAAATTCAAACCGTAGCACTGCCCTTCAGTGAAGTTTTAGGCAATGTGCCTCAAGTGAAGTAGAAAATGTAAATGGAGGCCCAGGCTAGAATCAAGACAGTATGGGACCTCAAAGGGGAGTGAGAAGTAAAAGAAATGCTTGTTAGAATCAGGCAGAGGACCCCTCTGAATGGCTCCGAACCACTTCCAGATGGCAGAGAAAAGGGTACTGAGTGGCACTTGGTGGGGCTGCAGACTATGCTTAACACCAACCTGTGGGTTCATAGTAGGGGAATGGTTACATTCTCTAAGCAATTAAAGCTGGAGACCCAGGACAGCAATAGTTCAGAAAAGAGTGATGGGAACCAGTGTTGGCTGGAAAAGCTCAGCCAACATTGGGACTGGTTGGCTATTTGCAAAGCTAGACACTCTTGCATTTCTCTCATTTTTTGTTTTTTTTTTTTGGGGATGGGGGAATAGCTTAAAAGTACTTTAAATATTGATAAGCTAAAGGGAAAGACCTGTGTGTTAGTCAGAGTTCTCCTGAGAAACAGAACAAACATCTCCTTATACTAAGGAACTGGCTCATGCAATTATGGAGCTGGACAAGTCCCAAGATCTGCAGTCAGCAAGCTGGAGACCCAGTAGAGCTGATGGTGCAGATTTAGTCCAAGTCCAAAAGTCCGAAAACCAGGAGAGTTAATGGTGTGGTTCCAGTCCAAAGTCAGTAGGCTTAAGACCAAAAAAGTAGAATTTTTAGTTTGAGACTGAAGGCAGAAGAAACTCAATGTTTCAGCTCAAGCAAGAGGAGTTTTCTCTTACTTAGCCTTTTTGTTCCATTCAGATTTTCAATTGATTGGATGAGGTCCACCTATATTAGGGAAGACAATCTACTTTATTTAATTTATATATTTAAATGTTAATTCCATTCAGATATACCCAGCATAATGTTTGATCAAATATCTGGGCACCCTTTGGCCCAGTCAAGTAGACATATAAAATTAATCATCACAATCCTGTACCCTCTTTGTCTTATCTCCTGGAAAGTGTTAATGATGGAAGAAAATAAGGAAAATCTCAAAACTGGTCTTTGAGGGCTTAGGGAAACAGAGGTTCTCCCACCTCACCTTTTCCAAAGAATACCAAACAGTGTAGGTATATTGGAGATTGGGTGGGAGCAAGCGTTATATCTGGGGACATTTTGTATCCCAAATACAAGTAATTCTTCTAGTTCTTACTGTTTCTTGATTGTTACTTATATTCCCAGTAAGAATTAAAGTTCCCTAAGGACAGGAAAGGAAATCCTTTCTCTCCTCACTCCCCCGACCATACCATTCACCCAAAGCTGAGCTTACTAAATGCTAAATAGTTCACAGACAAAGACCCTAGGTATCAGGCAGCGTTGCTACTTGAAACACTCATTGTGCTCATTAAGGGAGAATCATCTCCTTACTAGAACTCTATCCATAGAAGGTGTGTAAAATGCTTAAAGATTCTAAAACAGCTAATTTCTACTATAAGAAATGAAATTAAACAAATTCATAAGTGCATCACTTAAAGAAATTATTCTTTAAGTTAATGTGGTGTCTTTATCACAGGGATTCATACAGGAAACCATTTCCTACGTCTGAACCTTCACACCAAGAACAGAAATGAAAACAAACTCATGATAAATTCAAGGACATAATTCAATTTACGTGATAGGTAACAACTATTTTAACAAAGAAAAAAGAGTTTAACTGAAATAAATTATAACAATTATATAAGTTTAAACAAAACTTAACTTTAATAACTTTACTCTTTTCCTGCCAAAACAAGACCTTAGCTGTGTAGATGAATAAAATATATGCCATTAAAATATTATGATCATTTGTACATTTAAATTTTTCATCTTATTTTTACTGTAGCTGTATTTTATTTAAAATGCCCATTTATAATAAGAAAATTATTTTATTTCTTCTAGATATATATATAAGTTCAAAAAATATTGAAGACGCTCTACAGGTAACTTTGCTCTATATTTAGCAGAAAAAAGAATTTTGGAAAACGAAGTTGAGGACCACAATATGGAAAAAGTTACCACTTCAAATCCTTATGTTTGTGCTTAAAAAAGAAAATCAAAGACTTTGAATTCTGAGTGAAGCATGAGTCTCAGGGTAGCTAAATGCCTCAAAGATCACATCTGGGCACTTAAATTTTAAGAGCACAAAAGGAAGTTATGTGGAAATTCTTCTGAATGGAATACTAGCTACTTGGTTTCCAAGAGTGATCTTTGTCTAGCGCAGGTGGACACTTACTAAGAACTTGGAACGATGGAGTGTTAACACTGGTGTTTTGACCCCCTTCTGAACGTTAGCTCGTGTGTCTACATTATACCACTGGGGCCAAGGGAATGAGATACATAGGGAAGAATGGGACTTTGGGCCTTGGTGAAAACCTCTGAATTAGGATGTTCTCGAACGGTCAAGGTCAGGAAGTGCCCTTCTCTTCTGACTTGGGCTGTTCCTTGACTGTTCAGCTCTGACTGCTTTCCCACATTCATGGCCTCACTGTCTGGGGGCCGCCCTCTTTTCTCCCAGAGCCTGACCTTCATGAACCCATCCTGACGCTGACCCACATCCACTCATCTTGTGGGTCAGTCTGCTGGTATAGACTTTGATGAACCCAGCACTAGCTCCTTGCTGGAGGGTCCTAGCCCTTTCTGACAGTGCAGTGCCTCCTTGTGGTTGGGAACCCGGAGTGTTATTTTGTCAAGAAAAAGTGGAATCAGAGACTTTCCTTTGTTTCCCTATGTTTCCTACATAATGACATGGATATTACCCCACAGCAGCCTGAGATTGCCCAAGTAGGAGCATTCAGGCACTTCCAGACCACTTCCTGATGTGGCCACATCTGGGGCACAGTAAAACAAACCAAGTAAGGGAAAGAGCCATTCTAAAATTCTCCGTACAGGTGATTCTCTTTCTAACTGCTCATCTGGAGAGCTTGGCTAAATGAAAGATCATGGAACATCAGCTTTGACAGGACCCTTGAGATTTTATTGACCTCCTAATTTTATGGTTTAGAATATTAAGATCAAGAGAGAGAAATTTTCTAAAGCTCGGATGTCAGAGAGTGGTTGAGCTGGAATACTGGTCTGCATGACTTTCTGCCCAGTGCTCTCTCTGCTCTATAGGTGGCATATTGAAAGAGTTGTTGCCTTAAGAACACCATCAAGGCAATTTTGAACACTTGCATTTCTAATGAGCAAGGTACTAACTAAAATGTCACTTTGTCCAAGTACTTGTGTACTATTTTGTTGCCTCTCTCCAGGTAATGTGCTTAGATAGATGTTCTTCTTCCAGCAGATGGTGAGATGGGGGACTGATGTCCAGGCTAGGGATGGTGCACCTGGCTCTGTTGCTTTTGTAAAACCACAGAAGACAGAAACCTCTAGATTACTTTTAACTTCCTCCCCTTTTAAATAACTATATTTGTATTTCTAATACATGAAATAGTTAACTATGTAGAGGGAGAGTTAGAGACAGTACCTAATCCCAGCTTGATGCAATTACTTTAACATGAATTTAAAATAAAATTAAAGTTAACAGTTTAAACTGATGTTTGAGGGTTTTAAAAAGATTTAGTTTCCTTTGGAAGCACTGTGTTATTTGATCCAGTACAATCTTTTTGAGCGCCATGCATAACATCTTTACCCAAGTACCATTACTACTAGATTATGCCCATAGGTTGAGTTACAAATGTCTAAAAATCTTAAAATTATTAAGCTCAGATTAGAGTGTTCAAAGACTATGGTGTTATTTTAGTCTCCTGCCATATCCTCCATTTACTATAAACTTGATATATTGGCATTCAAATAAAATGTCATAAAGCAAGTATGTACGGAGGTGTTTGGGGTTTGTTTCAGGCTTCTGTGAGCCAAGTTTGCATGGCAACCAAGATGTATAACAGAAACACGCAAATGGTCTTCATAAAAAGAAACACTGAGCAGAGCTCAGGAGCAGGGCAACTTCTAAGTCAGGGTAGACTATAAGAGCTGATCAGATCAATGACTGAGGGCCTGGATGGGGACAGCAAGTCACCCAACATTGTTTCAATGATTCTTCAAGTCCCCTTTTGCTGCAGTCACCAAGTGCTAATGCATCTGAGGCCAAGTCTCTAGAGATGCAGCTTCATGGAATTTGCAGATGGTACAGTTGGAAGGATCCTTCAATGCCATCTTAACCAAACCCCTTGTTTTAGAGATGAGGAAATGGAGACCCAGAACTATGGTTTGTTCAGTCTCAGGGCTGCTTGTATACTCCTAGCAGAAGCACATGAGTATGCACATGTTCTCTGTTTTAGTGTATTCTCTTTTGTTTTCCCAACTGAACATAAATTGCAACTGTTCTGAGTTAGAATATAAAAAGCAAGTATGGGTACCCAAGACTTCCATTTGGACATTGCCTCCACAGTATCTCATAGGGAAATTCTTTCTAGTCTATACATCATGGGCTTCCCAGATCAATCTGCTTAGCAGACTCCTCCCTGGAAGACCCATCTCATGAGAACAAGTCAGTGGTGCTTTGTTTCCACTATGGAGATGGGATTTGTCAACTGAATTAAGCCTCCTGAAACCAAGAGGAAGAGGGAAGCTATCTTTTGAAATATTTTGGGTTCCCAAGACCCAGATGCTAGAGCAGTTACCTGGAATGAGGCTTCCCTAGAGCATGCTAAGGTGGAATCCACAAATTGGGAGCTTATTAAAAAATTCAATTTATTAGTAACCACAAAGGAGGATGCAGCTGATGTGGTCAGCACCAGAAATGCCTGTCTGTTTCCACACACTTTGCCAACCCCCATGGTTTCCCCAGCCAGCACTGCTAACAGATGCACTGATTGAAACCTATGATAAATACACGGTAATTTGTGAGTACCTCTGAAACCACAAATTGGAACATAAATAAAAGAAAGAAAATGGATGTTTGGTACTACTGGGAATAATAATGATGCATTAACTGGGAATAAATATTATGGTATTTCACTGTACAAGAATATATTATATGCATGGTAAGAGGAAGGACTTGACAAGGTTATTAATTTGTCTCTTCTTTCACTTAAGCATTTCCATTATTTAGATCCTCCCTGAAAAAACGTATAGTCTCAAATGATGAAAAAGATCTATCAATCAGATAAAGCTTGATCAGAAAAGCAGGCCACTATAACTGATACAGAATCAGGAATTAATCATAGGAATTAGACCTCATGCAACCCTGGGAGCTGTTTACACCATCTACATAAGCTTCTTGTCTCTGTGTCTAGTATTGATTGAAAGTCAGCAGGGGCAGTGGATATTCATGCAATGGCAGAAAGCAATGACAACCTGGAACTCCATCTGTCTTTTAATGCCTCCAGGCTTGGTAATGTGGGTGACCTGCAGGGTATTTTGGCACACTTTTCCATGGAGATGTCCATGCACCTGACCTAGGATTTAGAGAAGATGAAGAAGATTCACAAGGAGTTGGAGGAGCTGTGGGCCCAGCTACTGCCCCATCACAATGAGTCAGCAGATCATTAAAAGTATTTGAGAGCTGTAACAACACCTGATGCACACAGTTCTTTCAAGTGTAAAATGGCTTCACCTCTGACTTCCAAATCCTGAAGAGATGTCTACTGAGTCAACTTTAGCCCAGAACCACCTACACAAAGAAATTCTGGGAAATGTGGTTTAAGTTCAGCAAGGTTGATATGCTACAAAATCACCACAATAGTCCCAAATCTTTTACTACAGTAAGTGAGTTCCAGTTGCTTAACATCTTCACCAAAATTTGGTGGTAACGGTTTTTCATTTTAGCCATTTGATGTTGTATAATGAATGATATCTCACTGGAGATTTAATTTGCACTATTTGAAGACTAATGAGATTGAGCACTTTATTACACGTTAATTGGCCATAAGAATATCTTCTTTTGTGAAGTTCCTATTCAATTCTTTTGCCCACTTTTCTATTTGGCTTTTTCTTATTTTGTATGGGTTATTTTTATATTCTTGATATGCGTTCTCTTTCAAATATATTTTTTGTAACTATTTTCTTCCACTAAGTGGCTTGTCTTTTTGACCTATTAATGGTATATTTTCATAATCAGTTCCTAATTGCAACGTAGTCTTTTTTTTGCAGGTTCATTTCACATCCCTTTTAAGAAATCTTTTCTTACTTCAAGGTTATAAAGTTATTTTCTTACGTTGTCTTCTAGAAATATTATATATTTACCTGCTGCACTGCTTTACATTTATCTACATATGTTTTGTCTGTTTTTCTAGTTGTTTATGATGGAAAGATATTCTCAAAGCCGTTAATTCATTCCTTCTGAATGGAGGCAGAAGTTTGCTTGGTTTTTTATCTTCTTGCCCTGTGCAACATCACAATTTAACAAAGGCATTGAAAGGAAAGTTGCTGGGTGTTGTGTCATGTCTTTGAACCCCACTTCTCTTGATCTCTCACGTCCTGGCTGCCTTCTGAGTCTCAAACTCCAACTTTTGTTTCCTAGTTTTGTGAGGTTACTGAAACTCTGCTGGCTTCTCTAATTCTTAGCACTAACCTCTACCTGTCCTCATCTTGTTCTTAAAAAAATTGTAACTGATCTGAAGGGAAAAGTGATGTATTGATGTATTTATGTATACAATATTGATGCACCTACTTTTTCTCTGAGACCTTGGCCACTCAAATCCTGTATAATACGCTAATACCTTCAAGCATCCCCCCTCCCCCATTTTATCTGTCCTTTGTAGTTGTTCTCAGCGAAATAGTAGGAATAGTTCTTTCATTCCCTTGTCTAATAATTTGAAGAAATGCCATCTTTATAGGTCTGTTTCTGCTGCTTCTAGTATATCATGCTTTTTGTACTTGTGTACTGTATGAGGGTTCTCCAGAAAAACAGAACCAATAAGATGTACACATATATATGTGTATATATATATGTGTGTGTGTGTGTGTGTGTGTGTACTTCAAAAAGTTTGTGGAAAATTGAATTAAAAGGTAAACATAAAAATATGAATTTTATTATTTTATTTCTCAACATAAGCTCCATCCACTTTAAGGCATTTTTATAAGTGATGATACCAGCCATTTAGTCAGTACAGTCTTTTTTACATTATTAGCTGAAGAAAAATTTGTGCATTTTAAAGATTTTTGTTTAATTGGGAAACAAAAATAAATCATAAGAAGCCAAATCAGGACTAATGATTTTCTATTGAAACTCTCACAAAACTTCCCTTGTTTAGTGAGAGGAATGAGCAGGAGCATTGTCAGGATGGGGAAGGACTGTCTGGTAAAGCTTTCCTGGATGCTTTTCTTCTAAAGCTTTGACTAACTTTCTCACAACACTCTCATAGTAGGTAGATGTATTGTCTTTGGCCCCCCAGAAAGTCTACAAGCAAAACCCCTTGAGGATCTAAAAAAAAAAAAAAACTGTTGCCATGACTTCTGCTCTTGGCCAGTCCACTTTTACTTTGACTGGATCACTACCGCCTCTTGGTAGTCATTGCTTTGATTGTGCTTTCTCTTCAGAATTATACTGGTAAAGTCATATTTCAGCTCCTGTTATAGTTCTTTGAAGAAAATCTTCAAGATCTTGATCCCACTTGTTTAAAATTTCTATTGAAAGCTCTGTCTTTATTTGCAGCTGATCAGGGTGCAATGGTTTTGGCACCCATTAAGTATAAAGTTTGTCCAACTTTTATTATTTAGTCGGAATTGTATAATCTGAACCAATAAAGATGTTTATGGTTCGGGCTATTGTTTCTGCTGTTAATCATCAGTCCTCTTCAATTGAGGCACAAAAAGGATGAAATTTTTCCTCACAAATTGGTGTGGATGGTCTGCCAATGTGGGCTTCTTCTTTAATATTCTCTCATTCTTTCTTAAAATGAGTTATCCATTTATAAACTTCTGATTTCTTTGGAGGCATTGTCCCCCTAAACTTTTCATAAAGCATCAATGATTTCACCATTCTTTCACCTAAGCTTCATCATAAATTGGATGTTTCCTTTTCTTTCAATTTTAGCAGAATTTATGTTGCTCTGCTAGGGACTCTTTTTGAACTGATGTCTTATCCCTCTTAGTGTCTCAAACTAGATTCTAGTTAGACATCTTATAACAAGTCAGTATGAGTTATTTTGGTGAAAAAATTTTGAAATCTATTCACAGTGTGTGTGTATAAAGGGATTTATTATAAGTAATTGGCATTGGCTCATATGATTATTGAGACTGACAAGTTCCATCCAAGATGTGTGGGGTGAATTGGCAGGTTGGAGACCCAGGAGAAAAAGGGCTGATGGTGTTGTTCATCTGAAGGGCAGCAGGCTCAAAAAAAAAAATGTCAATGTCCTAGCTGGAAGGCAGTCGGACAGGAGGAATTCTCTCTTACTTGGGGAATGGTCAGCCTTTTTGTTCTATGCAATCCTTCAGTGGACTAAATGAGGCCCACCCATACTAGTTAAGGCAATCTGCTTTTTCCGATCTACCAATTCAAATGGTAAGTGTATCCAAAAACACCCTCACAAAAGCATACAGAACCATATTTGACCAAATATCTGGGCACTCTGCGGTCCAATCATGTTGACACATAAAATTAACTATCACATATACTCAATGATTATTGATTGGGATCCACTAATTTGGAAGGGAAGCATATTTGTGGAATATTTCTCAGGTTGTGGATGAGGTTTAGTCTTTCCAAAAAAAGTTGTGCTTACTTTAATTAGATAGTTGGACTATTTTTATTTTATTTTTTATTATTATTATACTTTAAGTTGTAGGGTACATGTGCACAACGTGCAGGTTTGTTACATGTGTATACATATGCCATGTTGGTGTGCTGCACCCATTAACTCGTCATTTACATTAGGCATATCACCTAATGCTATCCCTCCCACCTCTCTCCACCCCACGACAGGCCCCAGTGTGTGATGTCCCCCTTCCTGTGTCCAAGTGTTCTCATTGTTCAATTTCCACCTATGAGTGAGAACATGCGATGTTTGTTTTTTTGTCCTTGTGATAGTTTGCTGAGAATGATGGTTTCCAGCTTCATCCACGTCCTTACAAAGGACATGAACTCATCATTTTTTATGGCTGCATAGTATTCCATGGTGTATATGTGCCACATTTTCTTAATCCAGTCTATCATTGTTGGACATTTGGGTTAGTTCCAGGTCTTTGCTATTGTGAATACTGCCGCAATAAACATATGTGTGCATGTGTCTTTATAGCAGCATGTTTTATAATCCTTTGGGTATATACCCAGTAATGGGATGGCTGGGTAAAATGGTATTTCTAGTTCTAGATCCCTGAGGAATCGCCACACTGACTTCCACAATGGTTGAACTAGTTTACAGTCCTACCAACAGTGTAAAAGTATTCCTATTTCTCCACATCCTCTCCAGCACCTGTTGTTTCCTGACTTTTTAATGATCACCATTCTAACTGGTGTGAGATGGTATCTCATTGTGGTTTTGATTTGCATTTCTCTGATGGCCAGTAATGATGAGCATTTTTTCATGTGTCTGTTGGCTGCATAAATGTCTTCTTTTGAGAAGTGTCTGTTCATATCCTTTGCCCACTTTTTGATGGGGTTGTTTGTTTTTTTCTTATAAATTTGTTGGAGTTCATTGTAGATTCTGGATATTAGCCCTTTGTCAGATGAGTGGATTGCAAAAATTTTCTCCCGTTCTGTATGTTGCCTGTTCACTCTGATGGTAGCTTCTTTTGCTGTGCAGAAGCTCTTTAGTTTAATTAGATCCCATTTGTCAATTCTGGCTTTTGTTGCCATTGCTTTTGGTGTTTTAGACATGAAGTCCTTGCTCGTGCCTATGTCCTGAATGGTATTGCCTAGGTTTTCTTCTAGGGTTTTTATGGTTTTAGGTCTAACGTTTAAGTCTTTAATCCATCTTGAATTAATTTTTGTATAAGGTGTAAGGAAGGGATCCAGTTTCAGCTTTCTATATATGGCTAGCCAGTTTTCCCAGCACCATTTATTAAATAGGGAATCCTTTCCCCATTTCTTGTTTTTGTCAGGTTTGTCAAAGATCAGATGGTTGTAGATTGTGGTATTATTTCTGAGGGCTCTGTTCTGTTCCATTGGTCTATATCTCTGTTTTGGTACCAGTACCGTGCTGTTTTGGTTACTGTAGCCTTGTAGTATAGTTTGAAGTCAGGTAGCATGATGCCTCCAGCTTTGTTCTTAGGATTGACTTGGCAATGCGGACTCTTTTTTGGTTCCATATGAACTTTAAAGTAGTTTTTTCCAATTCTGTGATGAAAGTCATTGGTAGCCTGATGGGGATGGCATTGAATCTATAAATTACCTTGGGCAGTATGGCCATTTTCACAATATTGATTCTTCCTATCCATGAGCATGGAATGATCTTCCATTTGTTTGTATCCTCTTTTATTTTATTGAGCAGTGGTTTGTAGTTCTCCTTGAAGAGGTCCTTCGCATCCCTTGTAAGGTGGATTCCTAGGTATTTTATTCTCTTTTAAGCAATTGTGAATGGGAGGTCACTCATGATTTGGCTCTCTGTTTGTCTGTTATTGGGGTATAAGAATGCTTGTGATTTTTGCACATTGATTTTGTATCCTGAGACTTTGCTGAAGTTGCCTATCAGCTTAAGGAGATTTTGGGCTGAGATGATGGGGTTTTCTAGATATACAATCATGTCATCTGCAAACAGGGACAATTTGACTTCCTCTTTTCCTAATTGAATACCCTTTATTTCTTTCTCCTGCCTGATTGCCCTGGGCAGAACTTCCAACACTATGTTGAATAGGAGTGGTGAGAGAGGGCATCCCTGTCTTGTGCCAGTTTTCCAAGGGAATGCTTCCAGTTTTTGCCCATTAAGTATGATATTGGCTGTGGGTTTGTCATAAATAGCTCTTATTATTTTGAGATACATCCCATCAATACCTCACTTATTGAGAGTTTTTAGCATGAAGTGTTGTTGAATTTTGTCAAAGGCCTTTTCTGCATCTATTGAGATAATCGTGTGGTTTTTGTCTTTGGTTCTGTTTATATGCTGGATTACATTTACTGATTTGCGTATGTTGAACCAGCCTTGCATCCCAGCGATGAAGCCCACTTGATCTTGGTGGATAAGCTTTTTGATGTGCTGCTGGATTCGGTTTGCCAGTATTTTATTGAGGATTTTTGCATCGATGTTCATCGGGGATATTGGTCTAAAATTCTCTTTTTTTGTTGTGTCTCTGCCAGACTTTGGTATCAGGATGATGCTGGCCTCATAAAATGAGTTAGGGAGGATTCCCTCTTTTTCTATTGATTGGAATAGTTTCAGAAGGAATGGTACCGGCTCCTCCTTGTACCTCTGGTAGAATTCCGCTGTGAATCCATCTGATCCTGGACTTTTTTTGATTGGTAAGCTATTAATTATTGCCTCAATTTCAGAGCCTGTTATTGGTCTATTCAGAGATTCAACTTCTTCCTGGTTTAGTTTTGGGAGGGTGTATGTGTTGAGGAATTTATCCATTTCTTCTAGATTTTCTAGTTTATTTGCATAGAGGTGTTCGTAGTATTCGTTGATGGTAGTTTGTATTTCTGTGGGATCGTTGGTGATATCCCCTTTATGATTTTTTATTGCATCTATTTGATTCTTCTCTCTTTTCTTCTTTATTAATCTGCTAGCGGTCTATCAATTTTGTTGATCCTTTCAAAAAACCAGCTCCTGGATTCATTGATTTTTTGAAGGGTTTTTCGTGTCTCTATCTCCTTCAGTTCTGCTCTGATCTTAGTTATTTCTTGCCTTCTGATAGCTTTTGAAAGTGTTTGCTCTTGCTTCTCTAGTTTTTTTAATTGTGATGTTAGGGTGTCAATTTTGGATCTTTCCTGCTTTCTCTTGTGGGCATTTAGTGCTATAAATTTCCCTCTACACACTGCTTTAAATGTGTCCCAGAGATTCTGGTATGTTGTGTCTTTGTTCTCGTTGGTTTCAAAGAACCTTTATTTCTGCCTTCATTTCGTTATGTACCCAGTAGTCGTTCAGGAGCAGGTTGTTCAGTTTCCACGTAGTTGAGTGGTTTTGAGTGAGTTTCTTAATCCTGAGTTCTAGTTTGATTGCACTGTGGTCTGAGAGGCAGTTTGTTATAATTTCTGCTCTTTTACATTTGCTGAGGAGTGCCTTACTTCCAACTATGTGGTCAATTTTGGAGTAAGTGCAGTGTGGTGCTGAGAAGAATGTATATTCTGTTGATTTGGGGTGTAGAGTTCCGTAGATGTCTATTAGGTCCGCTTGGTGCAGAGCTGAGTTCAATTCCTGGATATCCTTGTTAACTTTCTGTCTTGTGGATCTGTCTAATGTTGACAGTGGGGTGTTAAAGTCTCCCATTATTATTGTGTGGGAGTCTAAGTCTCTTTGTAGGTCTCTAAGGACTTGCTTTATGAATCTGGGTGCTCCTGTATTGGGTGCATATATATTTAAGATAGTTAGCTCTTCTTGTTGAATTGATCCCTTTACCATTATGTAATGGTCTTCTTTGTCTCTTTTGATCTTTGTTGGTTTAAAGTCTGTTTTATCAGAGACTAGGATTGCAACCCCTGCCTTTTTTTGCTTTCCATTTGCTTAATACATTTTCCTCCATCCCTTTATTTTGAGCCTATGTGTGTCTCTGCACATGAGATGGGTTTCCTGAATACAGCACACTGATGGGTCTTGACTCTTTATCCAATTTGCCAGTCTGTGTCTTTTAATTGGAGCATTTAGCCCATTTACATTTAAGGTTAATATAGCTATGTGTGAATTTGATCCTGTCATTATGATGTTAGCTGGTTATTTTGCTCATTAGTTGATGCAGTTTCTTCCTAGCATCGATGGTCTTTACAATTTGGCATGTTTTTGCAGTGGCTGGTACTGGTTGTTCCTTTCCATGTTTAGTGCTTCCTTCAGGAGCTCTTGTAGCACAGGCCTGGTGGTGACAAAATCTCTCAGCATTTGCTTGTCTGTAAAGGATTTTATTTCTCCTTTGCTTATGAAGCTTAGTTTGGCTGGATATGAAATTCTGGGTTGAAAATTCTTGTCTTTAAGAATGTTGAATATTGACCCCCTCTCTCTTCTGGCTTGTAGAGTTTCTGCCGAGAGATCCGCTATTAGTCTGATGGGCTTCCCTTTGTGGGTAACCCGACCTTTCTCTCTGGCTGCCCTTAACATTTTTTCCTTCATTTCAACTTTGGTGAATCTGATAATTATGTGTCTTGGAGTTGCTCTTCTCAAGGAGTATCTTTGTGGCATTCTCTGTATTTCCTGAATTTGAATGTTGGCCTGCATTGCTAGGTTGGGGAAGTTCTCCTGGATAACATCCTGCAGAGTGTTTTCCAACTCGGTTCCATTCTCCCCTTCACTTTCAAGTATACCAATCAGACGTAGATTTGGTCTTTTCACATAGTCCCACATTTCTTGGAGGCTTTGTTCATTTCTTTTTATTACTTTTTTCTCTAAACTTCTCTTCTCGCTTCATTTCATTCATTTGATCGTCCATCACTGATACCCTTTCTTCCAGTTGATCGATTAGGCTACTGAAGCTTGTGCATTCGTCACGTAGTTCTCGTGCCATGGTTTTCAGCTCCATGAGGTCCTTTAAGGATGTCTCTGCATTGGTTATTCCAGTTAGCCATTCGTCTAATCTTTTTTCAAGGTTTTTAACTTCTTTGTGTTGGGTTCGAACTTCCTCCTTTAGCTTGGAGAAGTTTGATCATCTGTAGCCTTCTTCTCTCAACTCGTCAAACTCATTCTCCATCCAGCTTTGTTCCATTGCTAGTGAGGAGCTGTGTTCCTTTGGAGGAGGAGAGGTGCTCTGATTTTTAGAATTTTCAGTTTTTCTGCTCTGTTTTTTCCCCATCTTTGTGGTTTTATCTACCTTCGGTCTTTGATGATGGTGACATACAGATGGGGTTTTGGTGTGAATGTCCTTTCTGTTTGTTAGTTTTCCTTCTAACAGTCAGGACCCTCAGCTGCAGGTCTGCTGGCATTTGCTGGAGGTCCACTCCAGACCCTGTTTGCCTGGGTATCAGCAGCAGAGGCTGCAGAACAGCGAATATTGGTGAACAGCAAATGTTGCTGCCTGATTGTTCCTCTGGAAGTTTCATCTCAGAGGGGTACCCGGCTGTATGAGTTGTCAGTCTGCCCCTACTGGGGGGTGCCTCCCAGTTAGGCTACTCAGGGGTCAAGGACCCACTTGAGGAGGCAGTCTGTCCATTCTCAGATGTCAAGCTGCATGCTGGGAGAACCACTACTCTCTTCAAAGCTGTCAGACAGGGACATTTAAGTCTGCACAGGTTTCTGCTGCCTTTTGTTTGGCTGTGCCCTGCCTCCAGAGGTGGAGTCTACAGAGGCAGGCAGGCCTCCTTGAGCTGTGGTGGGCTCCACCCAGTTCGAGCTTCCTGGCAGCTTTGTTTACCTACTCAAGCCTCAGCAATGTCAGGTGCTCCTCCCCCAGCCTCAATGCGGCATTGCAGTTCGATCTCAGACTGCTGTGCTAGCAATGAGCGAGGCTCCATGGGTGTAGGACCCTCTGAGCCAGGCATGGGATATAATCTCCTGGTGTGCCGTTTGCTAAGACTGTCAGAAAAGTGCAGTATTAGGGTGGGAGTGACCCGATTTTCCAGGTGCCGTTTGTCCCCCCTTCCCTTGGCTAGGAAAGGGAATTCCCTGACCCCTTGTACTTCCCGGGTGAGATGATGCCTTGCCCTGCTTCGGCTCATGCTCGTTGCGCTGCACCCACTGTCCTGCACCCACTGTCTAACAATCCCCAGTGAAATGAACCTGGTACCTCAGTTGGAAATGCAGAAATCACCCGTCTTCTGCGTCGCTCATGCTGGGAGCTGTAGACTGGAGCTGTTCCTATTCAGCCATCTTGGAACCCAAAATGACCATTTTAAATTGAATGCATGACTTGAGGTTTTTTACATCGCCCCATATTGTAGACTTGGGCTGCAGATGTGAGCAAGGGCTGATTTGTGATGACAGCTTCTGAGGCACATTTTTTTGTTCTGCTTTGCTCTTTACCAAGGCCAACATTCCTGGTAGTTCTATGGGGTTTGAAGGTGGTAGGAAAGTTTACTTTTAGTTCATTTTCACACTGAGGGTACAACACTTTGCGTTTCAACTTTAAGGCAAAGGAATTCTGCTACTAAACTAGTTGCCTTGGACCTTAGACTTTATTTTCTTACAATTCAACAAGGCTGAGAAAAAGTAAGTTTATAAGGTTGGGAAAATTCTCTTGAAGTTGAAATGTGTTCATTTCTGCTTACTTCACTGGGTTTCTCCCTATACAAATCTTTGGCCTGAAAAAAACTTCTATCTTTCCAGCTCTTTGCATTTGAAATAAGCTGTAAAACACTTAATCTGATATTTATATATTGTTATATACTTATTCATACTGTATATTTTATATGTATTATATCATGTCATACATATCATATTATATAATATGTATCATACTATACAGTACATACATCATAAATAATATTGTATAATATAATACAGTATTATGCTTTTATAATAACACAATACTTATATAAGCCAATATTATATTATATTATATTATACTAGTATGTGTATGGCTTGGTATCTGGACTGTCACTCTTATACGAATCTTGGATAATATATTAAAAAGAAATTTATATTTCTACCTCCCAAATTAAAAATCACTAACATTTTTCATATTCCTCCCTTAGAAAAAAACAAATTCAGAACCTCACAAATATAACTGATATTCTGCAGTCTTATTCTCTCTCCTATATTCCCTAAAGGCAACCTAGTGATATCTTTCTATATGTTTTACATATTTATATGTAGGTATAAAAATAGACTCCTAATGTATATTTTTCTTCAGCTTTATTTTCTTCCCTCTCTGAATTGCTTTTTTTTTTTTTTTTTTTTTTTTTTTGAGATGGAGTCTTGCTGTGTCACCCAGGCTACAATGCAGTGGCGTGATCTTGGCTCACTGCAACCTCTGCCTCCCAGGTTCAAGCTATTCTCCTGCCTCAGCCTCCTGAGCAGCTGGGATTACAAGTGTCCTCCACCGTGCCCAGCTAATTTTTGTATTTGTAGTAGAGATGGGGTTTCATCATCTTGGCCAGGCTGGTCTTGAACTCCTGACCTCGTGATCCACCCACCTTGGCCTCCCAAAGTGCTGGGATTAGAGGCATGAGCCACCACACCCGGCCTCCCCTCTGAGTTCTATAGTTAAAAGAGACTCTCTATTTCCCTGGCCTTATGCTTTCATATGAAACAAATTCTATCCCAGTAATATTCAAAGCCTTTACACATTCTTTGCTCATTCTTTCCCATGGCTGAAGAAGTGGATTATCTGATTGGTGAGTTTGGAAGAAGCAATCTTGTTGATCTCTCTCTGTTTGAGGTGTTGGTTTTTCTGCAGATTGCCAGCAATCAGTTCTGCCCTCCGTCCTGTGGTTAGAGGTCTTTCCTTTGTGGAGAAAACCTATGGTTGTAAACTATGCCAGTAAACTATGCAAGACTATATAATTTAGGGAAATTCCCAGGGAGATCATTTTGGCCACACATCTAAACCACATTTCTTCAATCAGCTATATCAAATGTATAAATCATATATGTGATTTACATATTATATATAAATATATATGATATATATTATATTTTATGTCTTAGGTGATCTAAGTTTGGAAACAAATCCTACACTTACATATTTGAAATACAGAGTTATAGTACATGTCTTTAGAAGACTTCCTGGTGAGTAGGAAAAGGCTTCACAGCTACCTCTCTATTTAGATAATGATTTCAAGAGTTTTCAGGGAGAAATAGAAATCTGAATGGAATTAAGAGGGAAAATCATGTGTCTCTGAGAAAGGAGACTCTGTGGGTGGTAGTGTTGGGAGGGACAACACAAATCCCAGGTATATTTGGTGATCCCATGCATGAAGGGGACCTTTTTCTCATGCCTACTCCTTTCTTTGGGCAGATTTTGGAAAAGGAACAAGAATGAAGGTAGAAATATGTCTAGGCAGGTGTATTTCAGCTAAATTCCTAAGGCCTTGCATCTATCTGTCAAGGGTGGTACAGTGATGTCAGCATATTTAGTATTTAGTATTGTAACTAAGTATGAATTTGGCAGACAGAACCAGCAGCCTGAGACAGACCATGCTGAGGACGCACAGCAGAGGCCCGCATGTGTCAGGGAGAGTATCTTGGGGCATGCCAACATGATGGACAGATGAACCTAGTTTGACAATAGCCCTGCTTTCCTCATACCTTGACCTGGGTAAGCGCCTGAGGCTTTTGCATAGCCCAGGGGAAAGGAACGGGGACAGTGAATGGATTGAAGTTAAGTTTCAACCACCCAGCAGAATGGGGCTTCCTAAAAGAAATTGCTTTGTTATTGAAAAAAATTAAAGAATATCATTGTTTTGGTGCCCTTGATTTTGCATACTCATATCTGTCATCTATGCAGATTGATTTGGGATTTTTAAGCACCCTAAGGCAGTGCATTTCTCCCCACAGACTGATCCCAACCCTAGACTAGAATTGGAACCAAGTCACCTGCTTCTATAAAAAAATTGCTGTGCAGAGATAAATAGCACTCTTAGAGACTTCTACCAGTTCAGAAAGAGCAGTGGACTGTGACAAAGCCAATTCTGAAGGCATCTACAAAGTCATTTTCCTGGATGGACACAATATTATTAACTGCAGAGGAGAGGTGGAAGATAGCTTTGTTAAGAGTAGTGGATAAAATTACACTCAGACCCTGAATTACTAAAAGCTGAACCTTTTGCTGGAGAGGAAAGGATGGTTTTTGTGACATGACCTTTTCTACCCATCAGACTGGCCCACTCCTTGTCAGCTATAGATGCTGCTGTTCACCTACTTAGTACCCAGACTACTTTGCATCAAAGTGGAGTGGAAACACTCTTAACTGGCCTCCATTTAACCAATTTGATTGGTTCAATTAACACCCTTCATTCCCTCCTTTTATTTGTATTTTTATCAACATTTTATTATGGAAAATTTTATATTTAAAAGTGGAGAGAATATTTTGAGAATAATGAACTCTCAAACATGCCTAGAAGTGGGATTGCTGAGTCAAAGGACAAATGCATGTGTAATTATGCTAGATATTATCAATTTCCTCCCCAGGGGGGTTGTGTAATTTGCATCTCCACCACCAACCCATAACAGTGCCTATTCCTCACAACCTCAACAACAGCACATGCTCTCAACTTCGGGATTTTTGCCAATATAATAGGTGAAAAATTGTATTCCACTATAGTTTAGTATATATATATATTTACAATGAGTGAGATTGAACAATTTTCATATGGATTAAGGGTTATTTGCATTTATTTTTTCAGAACTATATAGTTTGCATAAAATGTACAAATTATTATATTTATTTATAGTTTTAGGCCATTTTTCTATAGGGCTGTTGAAATTCTTATTCTCTTTTTAAGATGTTCTTTATATATTAGGTTAATCAATATAAAATTACCACTTTTCTACATCAAAATAGTTGAATATTGGTAGTTGTGCATGGTTGAGCCCAACATTAGGTCTATTATCCTTATGTCATATAAGTTGCCAATGTTTGTTATTTGTCTTTTTACTTTTCTGTCATGCAAAAATTTAAAAAATTTTAAGTAATCAAATTCATCTTTTTCATTATTGTTTATTCTATTGGATTTGGAGTCATAGCTAGAAAAGTTTTTCCCACTAATACAGAATGAAGACATTTACCTATCTCTTGTTCTTAATTACTTATTATGGTTTTATTTAAAATTATTTTATGTTTAACATGTCTGATGATTTTAGAGTTTCTCCTGGCACACAGGATGAGGAGTAAATCCAATCTTACCTCTTTCTCGGTGATTATTCAGTTATCTCATCACTACTTATTAAAGAGCCCATCCCTTCCCTCTCTGATTTGAGATGCCACTTCTCTCATATACCAATTAAAAATACACAATTCTGGAGTTTTTTTCTCCCACTCATCTGTCTATTTATGTCCCAGTGTTGCACTACATAATATGTTTTAAATATTTTGTGGGGCTAGCTCTGGACATTACTTCTTTTTTCAGAGGTTTCCTAGATATTCTTACTTATTTATTCCTCCAGTGAACTTTATAATCAACTTTGTTTAGCTCCAGAAAAAGAACAACTTAATAATTATTTAGAGAGATACAGTTAATTTCTAAATTAACTCAGAAAAAAATCTGATACATTTATGAAGCTAAGTCTTCTATCTGAAAATGAGGCATGGTTTTCTACTTTAAGTCTACTTTTATCTCTTTTATGGATATTCTATATAATTCCTTATATGTTTTAAATATTTCTGGTCAATTTTACGCATGGGTAGTATAATTAATTAACTTATTAATCAAACTTATTGGCATTCCTAAATACTGTTTCTTTAAATTATATCACCTAAGTGATATTTATCTATGTATTTGGAACTTATTTTTATAAGTTGTTTTTTATTTTGTTTACTAAACTCCCATAATGCTCATAGTAGTTTTTCCACATATTTATTCTTTTGGGTTTTTCTGGTATATAAACATATTATCTACAGAGATATTTATTATTCATATCCAATTCTTACACCACTAGTTGCTTTTTTCTTTTTTAATTGCATTGGCTGAAACATTCAATATGCTGTTAAATAATGGTGGAGACAGGGCATCTTTGTTTTGCTTCTGAATTGAGTAGGAAATCTTCTGCTGATTTCCCCTTAACAAAGGTGCTGGCATTTGGATTGGAATATGTACAATATATGTATATGTTCATGTTTTATCTATGTTTATATTATCTATTCACATCAAATTAAGAAATTTAGGATAAATTAATACTCAGTTGAGTGTTTTTTAGCACATCCAGTTTCTCTTTAAACATGTTGACTGATACCCAGATCACACTCCCTTCTCAGGAGACTCCAGCACATGGGACACTCTTGTTTCCACTGGGTGAGCTGCAGGTTTGCCAAGTTTCAAGTTGATTTGTTCCCAGTATGCAAGTTGTGCTTATTATTGTCATTCTGTTATCTAATTATTACATAAATTGATGATATAGTAGTTCAGGGAAATATATGTTTCTTTGATGAATGACTTAGTAAAAGTGAGCTGCTAACAAAATTACTGTCAGTTTTGGTGTGAATAAGACACTTGCAAAAGACTAGGGAAAATTGTAAAAATGTAAATGCATCCTGAACTCAGATTACTTCCAAAATCACTTAGGTTCTCATCCTGCTTTAAAGAGACTTAAAATTGTAGGCCATGCATTGGCATGGTTTATGTAAGGGAAACAATAAGGAATTTCAATTAGTGAATCCATATTTAACTGAAAAGACTTGGCTTCATACAAAAAGATTGACGACTCAATATAGTATATCAGGTTGTATTTTCCAAAGAAGGTCTTAACAATTTCTCCTATACCACTTATTCTTTTTTTCAAAAGGACCTTGCCACTTCTCCATCAGGAAGTGGAGACTGTCACCTCCCATTAAACTTAGGAGGAACTGTGCAACTGCCTCATGTACCTCCACTGTAGATTTTCATTCTGTAACTGAAGTATCTCTGCAATTATTTCCCACTTGGCGTGCAAGAATTACTAATGTTACGGATAAGAAGTTTTCCTGAGAAGATATTCTGATTGTAGCAATCACATTTTTTTCTAGCTTCACATTTTAGCCCTACACATACCAATACTGAGAAAGGTGGAGAGAGTCAGTGCAATAACAGATGAAGATGGGTTAAATTGCATATTCTCAGGGAATTAAAACAACTGTACAAAAAGAAGATTGGTGGAACTGAAAGAATGAGACATACGTTTCCAAGAATCCACACAGTTTCATTTGGTGCAGCCAAGAACCTGACATTTAGAAAATAGAAGTAAAAAATAAACAGAATGTTTTCTGGGGTTTACCATTCTGGTGATCTTTGCTTCAAGTGAAGTGGGAAAGTAAGAATACCATAAATATCTAGATGAGGTTTGTCAGAGAAAATACAGTATACCCCGTTAAATTTGAATTTCAGATATACAACAAATAATTTTTTAGTACAAGTATATCCCAAATATTTAGTAAAACATACTAAAATTATTTTTTATCTAAAATTTAAATTTAACTAGGCTCTATACCTTTGATATCTTTACTGTATTATACTATCTAACAGTAGTCAGAATGGCTATTATTCAAAAGCCAAAAAATAACAGATGCTTTCGAGGTTCTAGAGAAAATGGAACGCTTATACACTGTTGTTGGGAGTGTAAATTAGTTCACCCATTGTGGAAGACAGTGTGGCAATTCCTCAAAGACCTAAAGACAGAAATAGCATTTGACCCAGCAATCCTCATTACTGGGTACATATCCAAAGGAATATAAATCATTCTGTTATAAAGACCCAAGCATGTGAATGTTGATTGCAGCACTATTCACAATAGCAAAGACATAGAATCAACCTAACTGCCCGTCAATGATAGACTGGGTAAAGAAAATGTGGTACATATATATCATGAAATACTATGCAGCCATAAAAATAATGAGACTTTGTTCTTTGCAGAGATATGGCTGGAGCTGGAGGCCATTATCCTTAGTAAACTAACAGAACAGAAAACCAAATATAGCATGTTCTCATAAGTGGGAGATAAATGGTAAGAACACATGGACACATAGAAGGGAACAACACACACTGGGGCCTTTTGAAGGGTGAAGGGTGGGAGAAGGGAGAGGATCAAGAAAAATAACTAATGGGTTCTAGGCTTAATACCTGAGTGATGAAATAATCTGCACAACAAATGCTCGTGACACAAGTTTACCTATGTAACAAACCTGCCCTTCTACCCCTGAACTTGTGAACTTGTACCCCTGTACAATTTAATGATTTTTCATATATTTACGGTTGTGCAACCATTGCCACAATCTATGGTTAGAACATTTTCATCGGCTCTAAAGGAAAATAATACCCATTAACAGTCACTCCCCGTGCCCACCCCTGGCCCTCGGAAAACCCTGATCTACATTTGTGCCACTAATCTGTGTCTTGTACCACAAATCTGTGTTTTGTCTCTATACATTTGCCTATCCGAACGTTTCAAACAATTGAATCATACAATATGTGTTACACCCTGTATTTTTATTTTCTAAATCCGACAGCCCTAACCTAGAGCCAATTGTCTAGAGCAATGAAGAGTAATGCCAGCCAAAGAGAACACAAAGAGGAAATAAATTAGAAGCAGCCGGTGGAGAAAGTGGCATGAGAACCTGGAGGAGCTGGCCCTTCCCACACTGTAGCCTCTTCCCACAAAGGCAAAAGTCTGAGCATAGTCAGGCCCTCTGGCTAGTTTAAGGGAAAAAATTATTTACTAAGGGAAACCCACAGCAACTCCAAGGGAGCCAGACAGTCAGACTGGTGGCAATGCAGCCTGGATCAACACCTAAGAACCTCACTGAACTGCTTGCAAGGAGGATCCTCTCCATCAACTGTGTCCTGGCACTGTGGAGCACCCCATAGACTGCATCAGGGGACCTCTGCCATTACGGCATCTGAATGCCTCATGTCTCCACCGTGCTCCACTGTCCTCCAGAACAGCAAAACCGATTGCACATTGAACTTTTTCTTCACCAGCATGCAAAAGATGGGGAAATAGCACATATTTCAGGAAAAGCCTCCATTATCAATTCTTGAAGTCTGGGGTGGTGGGTACAATCAGCAGTAACTGGGCTCACGTTCCAGTGCCCTGGATACATGAAGATTAGAAAAATTAATTTCCATCTCCAACTTAGAGGAGACAGGACTCTCAAATGTGGGGAATTACCAAACTATAGGAGAGGCTTTCAAAAGACCTGGGGCCATCATAAATATGGTACGTATCTATCACCACTACTTTTACCATTGATTTTCCTATTTTGCTTGGGAAAATGTAGAGATAGCTTCATGTATGAAAAAAAGTGAAAACGGGTAGGAAATGATACCAAGTAACTCTCTGCCTAAAGCAGATGACCCAGGGCTCCATGACTGAACTGGCAAAATACCTGCAGCCCAAGAATGCAGAAATACTTCATGGTGCTTATAGTTCTTAGGCACTCTTACTTTTGGAATCTTTACAGTATAACACATATTAAAATTCACTTACATTACCCATTAAATATACATTTTGATCATATTTTTAAAAAATTATTTATAATTTTGTTTTTAAAACTATTTTTGCTTCAAGCAGTTTCTTAAAAATTGCAGTGATTGTTTCAATTACAATGTAAGCTCAAGAACTCTTGCAAAGTAAGAAAACTGAACATACAATCCTTTCAAGAATAATGGACTTTTTTCCTACTAATATCAAATTTAACAGCGAAAACATTTGGCGGAGTGTAATATTTTATAGACATCCATTAACAAATCATTACTTTGATCATTCAGTCTTCTATTTATTCTTTGAATAAAAATAACAATTTTATGCCTCAACCCTTTACAAGAAGCATTGGAAAACTTAATGGATAAAGCATTTCTGTGGTGATACTCCTCTACTAAATCATCTGTGGGATTTGGCAGAAAAGAGAGTTTAACAAAATCTGAGATGAGAAGACAGGACACGCTGCAAACCACGGCTGCACAAAACCCTGGCTGAGGTTTTTCTCAAACTGATGACTCTTTTCCTCTCTTCTGGTCTCTAGGATACAGAAAAATTCCATCTGAACTACACCTTCAAAGGAAAAGACAAGCAATTCCCAGTCAAAATTGAAAGGGAGTGGAAGAGAGTTTACCCACATTATATCAGCACAAAGCAAAAAAGAAATGGGCAGAGCTACTCACCTTAAACATGAAAATTGTTGGAAAAAAGTTTGCAAATACATTGTAGAAAGAGATGATGATGATGAATTGTAATAATTGATGAGAAACAGAAGGGGCATCATATGCAAAAGGCAGACAACAGATCTTAAGAAGTCCTCTTACAAACAGGCCTGATGAAAGACCTCGTAGACAAGCTATTCAAACAACAGAATAAGATGAAAAGAGAATTTTTAGAGTTAAGGAAACAAACCAATAATTCAAACACCACATTACAGAAAATATAATTAATTAGAAATAGATTGTAACATAATTCACAGAGCTTAAAACTGAATTTTTAAAATTGGCACCTAGGAAATATTTAAAATAATCTCAATGAATATGGAGGAAAAAAGGATTAAGATATTAAAACAATTAGATACAATCTAACCTAAACATCACTGGAGTTGCTGAAGTAAACAATCCAATAAACAAAACCAAAAATTTATTGAAACTCCTAATAGAAAAAAATATTCGGGGCATTAAGCAAATATTGAGTCTATTGATCTAAGTCACACCATCTGCAAAACAAAAACAAAAACAAACAGAGATAGAATAATTGATGCTGTGTCATAGCGAGCTAAGGTAATAGATCTCAAGGAAGCATTAAAAACTACAGACTAAGGTGACAAAATTAACATACATATGTGTGAATATGTATTTACATCATACTAAAATATAACTTAATATATTAATAATAGTATGTACATTGAAATTAAGAGGAGCATCTAAAATAACAGAAATATTGATAGTAAAAGGATGAACAAAACTATACTATATCAACCTCACACCCAAATTATAGAGGAATTCACTATGCTTTCGTCTATTCTTGTATAGTTTTATTACTTACATTTAGACCTTCAATTCATTTGGAACTTATTCCTGTGGATTTTGTGAGAAGTGAATCTAACTTTATCTTTTCCCAAATGGTTTTCTAGTTTTTCCACCATCATAATTTAAAAATTCTATCTTTGCCCCTGTTATCTCAGAAACCACCATTGTCATATTGTATTATATATTACCTCATGTTCCATCTATTTCCATATAATTCCATCTATTCCATATAGTTCTATCTACAACGTATTGTTATATTCTAGATTACCATATAGTCTCATCTCTTTCTAAACTTTCTATCCTTGTCATTGATTTTTCTGTTTATTCACACACCATTACCCAGCAGTTTTAATTATCAAGGCTTTGTAATATGTTTAGATATATGGAGGGCTAGTCTTGCCACTTAAAACTCTTCCCTTTTAGTGTTTCCCTAGTTATACTTGCATGTTTTTTTTTTTCTATATGAACTTTAGTATCAATTTGTCTAGTTTTAAAGGCAGTTTATTGGTGTTTTTCATTGGGATCCTCCTATCAATTTTATAAATTAATTTCAAGCGAATGGATATCTTGATGTTGAGAAGTCTCAAGGAAAAATAAGCAATATTGTTTCATTCAAGTCTATTTTTGTGTCTTTTGGGAATGCTTATAGATTTTTTTCAAATAGGATTTGAGCATTTATTCCTTAGTTAATTCTTAAGTATTTTATCCTTTTTCTGTTGCTATGGGGGTTCTATCTTTTTTGGTTGCTAAATGTGGGTTCTCTTCTATTATGTCTTTAGCTGGCTATCATATGTACATGTAAAATTTATCGATTTATTTAAATAACAAAGCATCTTCGAAGAATCCAGGTTAGGGCACAGGTCTCTGGCATTTGCTGGCTAAGCACTGGTTTATTTCTTCTGATTGGATAAATCTCAACAACCCAGTTACATGTGGTAATGGTAAATCATGATCTTTTCAGATTATATTCTATCTGACCTAATTCTCAGAGATTATGAAATCCAAGAATATTTTTCTCAATGCATTGCCATTGAAATGCCATTAGTACAAATTTGACCTGGACTTTTTTCTATGGAGCTCTTTTATGTTTAATTTCCGTGAATTTTCCTGTATTTGTTTCTTGTTCCTGGTATAACTAAAACAAATTTAGAAATTCATGGTCAAACAAATTTAGAAATTCATGGTCACACAAATTTATTCTTAGAGTCTATAGGTTAGAAGTCCATCATGGGTCTCACTGGGCTAAGATCAAGGTTTGGGCAGGGCTGAGTCCCATCTGGAATTCCTAGGAGAATCTGTTTCCTTCTCATTGCCAGATTCTAGAGGCCACCTATATTCCTTGACTCATGGCCTCTTCCATTATCTTCAAAGCCATCACTCCAATGTTTGCTTCTGTCTTTACATCTCCTTTTCCTGTTTTGATGATCTTGGTATCATTGGTATCATTATGTCCTATTATAAGGTTATAATATGTTATAAGAACCTCTGTTATTACACTGGGCCTAGCCAGATAATTCAGTGTAATCTACCCATATCAAGATACTAAATTTAATCAAATCTGCAAAGTTCCTTTGCCATGTCAGATAACATATTTACAGGTTATGGGAATTAGGATGTGATCATCTTTGGGTGAATGTTATTCTCTCTGCCAAACTTCTCATTTTAATTTTTTTCCATAACATCATGGTGCTGGAATATCTAAGTGACCTATGTTTAGATGTCTACTGGAGAGCAGTAGAGTATAGGAAAGGATTCAGGCTCTAGAGTCTGATAGGCCTGAACTTGAGTTCCAAGATTCTTTGTCTGACTAACTGAATGACTTATGAAAGTAGCTTCACTTTTTAAGGCATCATTTTCTTTACCTATAAAATTAAGTAGATAATAATAGTGTCTAATTCTTAAGGTTGCTGAAAGAAATAAGAATTGAAAACAGCTCATCAGTGTTCGGCCTTATGCTGGGTTCCACTTGGCAGCCTACATGGGCTTCATGCATCCAATTCTGACATTAGTTTTGAAGGTGTATTAAAATATTTTTTAATAATTTTATTTTATGGCTGCTTGAAAATGGGCCTAAATTAACATTCCACCACTGCTCAGTAAAAATATTTGGAGCCCATCCATATACAAAAGAAAGTATTTGTTGTTTTTCAAAAACAGTATTTTCTAATTATATTGTACTGTCATAGCTTATTCCAGTAGAGTGGCAGACACAGTGGCAAGCTCTGCTATCTTAAGTCAGCTCATGGACAACTAAGCTGTAGAGGACTGCCCTAGCATTAACATTGCTCTACCTGATAGCTCAACAAAGTATTTGTTATGCATTCCTTTAACTATGCAAAGAATCATCTAATCCTTCATGCCTCCACCATATTCTAATTCTAATCTATTCTATCCTCTATCCACCTCCCAATAACTATTCTCCTTGGGTAGCATGTCATCAAAGAGAGACTCTTTTCATATTGTGGTCCCAGCTTTTATTTCTCTATTTTTCAAGCTGAGCTTGGCAAGTCTATCTGCTAATGTACCTACTCCTACATCTGCAATTCTACTGGAATCCACACAGTTAGATTTAATCAGACAACCTCAGTTCTCATCATTTCCTGCTACTTTGAGCATGTTTAGTTTGCAAGCTACCATATTTCTAGTGATTATTTGGCAAAGGATTTTGCTGGTATCTACTGCACGGTCTCCCTTCCAGTTTGACTTAGTTGATGTATATGAACATTTACAAACACAACCAAAAGAAACGAGTTAGAATGGCTTTCTCTTCTTAGTATTGTACTGTACTTAAATTCTTTCTGGTTCAATTTTTTTATTCAAGAACAGACTTTGAAGGGATTAGCCATAATCTAACCCCTTCTTGACTTACATGTAAAACAAACTTGTCCATTATCTATCTCTTAGTGATTTCAGAATTAAAGGTCTTTGAACCTTATTAACACAGACGATATGTTAGATGGAAAATGCCATTATTCTGTGTGCCATAACAATTTTAAACTCTTTTCAGACATGTGTTTCTGTCTTCATTGGCATTTGCCTAGGATGTTTTATATGATTAGAACTTAGTAATGGGGAAAAGCTCAATTAAGCAAATAATTGTTGAGGGATTAAGAGCATTGCACAGCACCGTGATCCTCTGGTTTGCCTAAGCTTTCCCAAAGAATCATCTGACAATTTTTCTCATTGAGCTGTGCCAGCATATAGCAAAGTTTGTATTAGCTTGGTCCAAATGGACTCAGTTAGAAGATAGTATATCTGCAGCAGCAGAGCCACCTCCTAGCCTCCCTCACTCACCATCCTGAGCGATACCCTCCCTGTTGATCTCATCCCCGTAAGCCATTCATTTAATGTTTCCTGGGTGGAATCCCATTTCTGCAGCCCACCCCTACCCTAATCCACAAAGTTCACTTGCTTAGTAAGAGGTTTCCTCCACTGGAACAGGAACTCCAAGCTCAGAGATGGTGCTATCTGTTCCTTTTCCTTCACTGGATTATCAACATGCATCCAATTAGCAAGTCTGACAGTGGCATTTATATTAATGTTTTCAGAAACAACTCAGATAACATCTTGTGCAGGCTGCAACCCTAGACTTTGTCACCACTGAGAATACATGAACCCAGGATAGAACCTCCAGGGAAGTAGGGTACTTAAAGTGATCTCAGAGTCCCCCAAATCTCCACACAGGCCATGGATGTATTTCATATGTGCAATATTTTATTTCATTTTTGTTTTGTGCTACACTCTATTTCTTGATGTGGAAGCAGCAAAAATGCCAAATATCCCTTTAATAGCATTCCAAAGTACCTTTTAATATGACTCAATAGAGGAAATAATTAAGCATTTGTGTTAAATTGTTTATGGTAAAGATATTAGAAAAACACAAAATAATTTTCTAATGAATTAGAAAAACACAAAAGGTTATATTCATATCTAATTTTGAATGAAATAGAAAGTGTAAAAGTTACTAGGGATAACACTTAAGTAAAAAGAGAAACATAAGAATCCCACCATCTATAAATGCAGAGCACTGAAAGATGATAAGCATCATTTGAATGCAACACCAAATAGAATGAAGACAAAGCTTCTGTAAGAAAAAGAAAATTGCTGACTGTAGTAAAAACTCACAGTCAATTATCTGCTATGAATCCATGACTAAATACCTGCGGAGAGACAATCACGGCCCAAGACACCATAAGAAAATGTGCACTAGGTGTTATACCCTTACGGCCCTGGGAAAGTGAGACGGTGGAGGACAGTGATGAATAAGGCCTCCTGCAGTTGTCAGCAGGGGTGGTGCAGGTTCACTAGGAACTGCTGTTCTATTCTACACACACTTTGGTTAACATAGATACCAAGAAGCAGAGACTTGCTAGTAATTTTTCAGTGGCTCAGATTCCAGGAATTTCTGTGTTAGAAACAGATATTTGGTGGTCTGAGAATATTACTGAGCAAAGATACTTTTCCACCATAAGCAGCTTCTGATTGCAAGATAAATTCACCAGAAAATGTCCATAAATTTTCACTAAACAATAAAGATTTCACAGGAAGCATCATAAAGCCTATTACTTACTTGAATGAGTAATATTGTCATTATGGAAAAAAAAACCCAAAAGAACAAACAACTAACATTGTCAAAAAAGTAGAATATTTTGCCAAGCAATAAATCATCAAAAAATATATAAAACTTCACTGCAGACCAATCTGGGTAACACAGCAAGGCCTTGTCTCTACAAAAGATAAAAAATAAAAATATTAGCCAGGCATAGTGGTGTGCACCTGCACTCCAAGTTACTCAGGAAGCTGAGGCAGAAAGATTGCTTGAGCCCAGGGGTTCAAGGTTACAGTGAGCTATGATTGCACTACTGCACTCCAGCCTGGCGTGGAGTAAGAACGTGTCTCTAAGCAAAACAAAATAAAACAAAAAAACCCGACAAACTTTACTGTTTAAAAATTCATTTTAGGTTGACAAAACAATTAGCATTCCTTCTGAAACTGAGATCAACATGTGAAAATGTTGTCTGATTGTGTAAACCAAGATGACAGGTTGAATATACTATGCATACCTTACAAAATCCTAACAGGGAGAGGGCACATCACACGAAGCTGCTCAGAGTTTGTTTAGCATGGCCCACCAGCCTCTATTGCAGTCGTAGCTGGGGATTCCTTTTCAAAGAAATTAATGAATGATTTGTTGACATGGTTATCTTCTTCAATATATCTAATTGGAGATACTTCCTTATAGGTCTAGACATGTAATTATGTCTTCATTGTCTCCTAAAGCCAGTTTTGCTTCAGTCTGTCTAAGATGTTGATGAAATGTCTTCAAATCAATAAAGGTGTCCAAAAATAAGAATGGGAAAAATAAAACCTTTTGCACTAGTTAACAAAAACACTTCATCCAACTGCCAATCTCTCACTTAGTGTGCTTCTACCACAAAGCTTTGCTCATTGTTTCTTTTTCAAGCATTTTTCCCCAAGGTTTGCACGGGCTCTATAATTGTGTTATCTGCAGGCCCATGCAGGACTCTAGATGAGCTAGCATCAGGCATTTGGGGTTTAGCAAACAAAGTGGACAAGTTTGACATGTCCATCAGCTGAGTGGCAGTGCCCAGTGTGATGGTTTGTCATTTTCACACATGTTGCATGTACACAGCATTTAAAGCAGCTGAAGTTCAATCAGAAATGTTGGTACCTGTGCAACCGTAATATCTTAGCAATTCCATAAAGAAATTCACATGGAATCTCTCAACCTAGCCAGATTTGTGTCAGCTTCCTTAACATGTTCCAGTTGCATGAAATACTAATTAAAGGTACTCATTGTTAACTGATATAAATAGTCCCCACTTAGCCCATTATAGGTATGGGCTGTAAAACAAACAATTATGTGACAGATGATACATGTTAACATGGAGAAATTCTGTGATGACATTTCTGTAACACTGCAACCTCTTCAACCACCATATGTTCCACATTAGGAACTAAAAGGAGTGTTCTGATTATAAAGGTGATGCACCCACACTCAGCTTCTGACTTTTCTTCTAAGAGTAGAAAAACCTGAAGCATCTCTGAAGGACTTACATTACAAATGGAGCGAGGTAATAAAAGCATTAATGGAGTTGGTGTTCAACTGTCCCATGTATCCGGAATTTTCCATCCTGGTGCCCAGCAACTTCACCAGCCACCTACAAAATTGTTCCATCTAGGGGAGGGCAATCAAGGGAAAGCAATCGTATATAACGGAGTATTGGAGTATGTCTTTCTTTCTTTTTTTTTTCCTTTTTTTTTTTTTGAGATGGAGTCTCGCTCTGTTGCCCAGGCTGGAGTGCAGTGGTGCTATCTTGGCTCACTGCAAGTTCCACCTCCCAGGTTCACGCCATTCTTCTGCCTCAGCCTCCCGAGTAGCTGGGACTACAGGTGCCCGCCACCATGCCCGGCTATTTTTTGTATTTTTAGTAGAGACAGGGTTTCATCGTGTTAGCCAGGATGGTCTCGATCTCATGACTCCATGATCCACCCGCCTCGGCCTCCCAAAGTGCTGGGATTACAGGCTTGAGCCACTGTGCCCGGCCTGGAGTATGTCTTTCTTTAAAAGTCACAGATTTGTCCCTGTGAACCCAGGTTTAAAAAAGATTTTGACACAGTGGGAATTGAAGTTTAAAATGTTTTATTTCTCCCCAAGAGATAAGTCAACTGCATGTCAAAATAATCAGTGAATACCAGTAATTTCCTGGCAATCAAATAAACACACAAATTAATTAAATTATACAGTGGCAAACCATCTCCGACTCCTTCGTCTCTTTATCTTATTCACCCCACATAAATTATAGGTGTATCTTCTGAAACTGGTTAAGGAAAGACTATATGACAATTGATCCTATCAAGAGACACTGGGGCCGGGCATGGTGGCTCACGCCTGTAATCCCAGCACTTTGGGAGGCCGAGGAGGTCAGGAGTTTGTGACCAACCTGGCTAACATAGTGAAACCCCACCTCTGCTAAAAATACAAAAAATTAGTCAGGTGTGGTGGCATGTGCCTATAATCCCAGCTACTGAGGAGTCTGAGGCAGGAGAATCACTTGAACCCAGGAGGCAGGGGTTGCAGTGAGCTGAGATCGCCCCACGGCACTCAGCCTGGGCAACACAGTGAGATCCCGTCTCAGAAAAAAAAAAAAAAAAGAAAGAGAGACATTGAAATACACATTTTAGTTAAACAGCAACTTTCTTTGAGCAAAAGATTGTAAACATCCTATTAAATTACAAATTGCTCTTGTACAGATAACAAATAATATCTACTTATGCAACTTCTAGTAATTCTGAAAAAAATGGCACTTTTAATAATTACTAAATTCATTACTCTGTATTGATTTCGTTCTTTGCCAGGTGCTATGTTAAAAGCTTTATAGGGTTTATCTAGTTTACTGTTTCAAAGCCCAGAAGATGTGAATTATTATTGCTGCTGTTACTCACATATTATAGACAAAGTAATTGAAACAGAAACTTTCTCAAATATTTGATCAGCTATTACAAGAAAGTCTCCGTGATGAGTGTTGGGGTAACAAAGGTAACAAGATAGAATGGATCCCACCCTCTTTTTAGTTTTGTTCTGTTTTTTGAGAAAGGGTGTTGCTCTGTTGCCCAGGCTGGAGTACAGCCTGGCGCAATCATAGCTCACTGCAGCCTTGATCTCCTGAGCTCAAGTGATCTTCCCGCCTCAGCTTCTTGAGTAGCTCAGACTACAGGCACATACTATCATTCCTGGCTAACTTTTTTTTATTTTTTGTAGAGACGAGGTCTCACTATGTTGCTCAGGCTTGTCTTGAACTCCTAAGCTTAAGTGATCCTCCTGCCTCCACCTCCCAAAGCGCTGGGATTATAGGCATAAGCCACCACCCCGGCCTGGCTCCATCCTTGTAGAATTTACAGTATGGTGAGGGAGACAGACATATACCATTAGTAATAATCAATGAAATGAAACTGTGCTAAATGCCAAGGGGAAAAAGTCCTGAGATCTTTGAGAACATATAAAAAGGTGTGTATTCTAGTTTTGTTCATCATAGAGGACTCATCCAAAGAAGTATATTCGAGACCAGAAGTGTAAATGGGATCCTAGCAGGCAAAGTGGTGAGCAAAGAGCTTCCTAGGCAGAGAAATGATTTCAGTGTTGTGAGAATGAAAAAAGATGGGCATGCACATATTGAGAGAGTAACGAAAGTAGAGTCAGAATCAAACTTAGGCTACCTGATACTACCTTCTGTGTACTATCTAGTACCTATTATTGATTCTTTGGCATTTTTATGAGAAAGAGAGGAAAGAAGAGGAGAGACGAAAAAGGAAGATAGATAAAGGAAGAGAAGGGAAAAAAAAGAGGAAACCAAGGCCCAGAGAGGTTAATCAATTTGCCCAATTCTGACTCTCACACAGAGTCAAAATTCAAATTTGGCAGTCTCCAAGCTCATATTTATGCTTAAAATGCTATGCTCTGAACCATGATACTAAAAACTAACCACTATGGAAATTCATTAAAAATTTTACAGGTGTTTCTATTTCTTAACCACAAAGATGTAATTTTTAAAAATTATATTATGGACATTTTCAAATGCAAACCAAGGTAAAGAGAATTAATATGATACACTATTCTATAACCATCATCCAGATGAAACAATTATCAATATTTTTCTAATGAAATAAGTGAGTCTAATGAAGTAACTTTAGTATAAGGGGGAAATTACTGACAAGCAGAACAGAATTTTATCAGAAAGAAATAGTGTCTTCTCCCTAGAATTGTCACTTCCAAATACCATATTGAAGTATCACAAATAAATTCCCTATGTAAACCACAAGAGCATGAATAGGGGCATTCTTTTCCTCCATGAAGTTAGATAAGACAGTACAGTGTTTGGCAGTATCCCTTGAAAGTTAAACTGCCTTTGACTTCACCCTGTTGTTACATCATTGACATTTAGAAGTTGGTTGGCATAAGCTGACATTCCAGAAAAACCAAATCTGCCTTAGCATATGAATGACATGATTTTAAAGAAAGTCTCTTGGGCCCATTTGAACAGGTTTTGGTATTTGGGAAATATATTTTGTCTTAAGGTTGTTTGTAACATAAATATTAGAAAATGCTGTACGATCTTTTACAATGATAGCAACACACAAATGGTTTTTAAAGATTATAACTATTTATCTTTCTAAATATAAATACACACATCCAATGGTGAGGTCATCACATGAATATATCTAATTGCCATGAACTTGACTTTATCCACTTGGAGAAGAGAAAAAAATTGTTTGTGAAATTTCTCCTCCTATCTCCCAGATGACTGCATAGCCTTAGGGAGTTCATGATGGAAGCTGTGAATGAGCTCTGCTCTCACATAATTGCAACGTTGCATGCCACTGAAAATATAAGCATCATGTTAAAATTACACAACTTGCAAAAAACAACAAAAAAATGAAATACATTCTCAAAAGGAAAGAAAATCAGTTGAGTTTGCCCTGAAATAAACCAGATGTTGGAACTAACAAACAAGGATTTTAAAGTCGTTATTATAACTATTTTAAATGAAGCAAAAGAGCATGGTTTCCATGAACAAAAATCTCAGCAGAGAAATAGGAAATTAAAGAATATAAATAGAAACAAAAGAGAGGACATTCTAGACCTGAAAAACACAATTTTGGAAATCAAAAAAATCACTAGATGGATTTAACATCTGAAAGGACATGGCAAAGGAAAGTGCAAGTAAACTTGAAGACAGGGCAATAGAGATTATGCAAGGTGAAGAACAGGGGAAAAAATAAAGAACAGCTTTAGAGACTTCTTAAATAATATCAAACAGTGCCATGTAAAATTTGATGAAAGACAGAAATTTACAGAAACAAGATGCTAAATGAACACCAAGAATCATAAACCCAAAGAAGTCCATGTTGAGGCATATCACTGTCAAACTGTCCAAATTGCTTAAACCAATTGATTTTAATGTACCTCTTTCAGACCCAGACAAATCAATTGGATACAAAATTAGTGAGAACATAGAAAATGTGACCAATAAAATTAAAAATTTTATCTGATAGGTACATACAGAATCTTGTCCACCAACAAATAAAATTATTTTTATGTATACTTAAAACGTTTCTAAAGATTAACTATACATTGACCCTAAAGACTCAAAATATCATAAAGACTTGATATCATAATAGATCACATCCTCTAATACAATGCTGTTAAATTAGAAATTGAAATTAAAAAGATAATTGAAAAATTATATGTATATTAAAACTAAAAACTAAAAAATACACTCCAAAATAATTATGGGTTTCAGAGGAAAATGATATTGCAAATAACAGAATATTTAGAACTAAACAACAGAAAAGCATACCATATTAAAAGCTATATGTGAGTTATAATAAAATTGTGCTTAGAGGAAAGTTTATGCATTCAAATACGTTATGAAAAACAAGAAAAAAGTTATAAATACTCAAAACAGAGAAGCCATAAGAACAGAAAACTCTTGCTGGGAAAACTGGCTAGCCATATGTAGAAAGCTGAAACTGTATCCCTTCCTTACACCTTATACAAAAATTAATTCAAGATGGATTAAAGACTTACATGTTAGACCTAAAACCATAAGAACCCTAGAAGAAAACCTAGGCAATACCATTCAGGACATAGGCATGGGCAAGGACTTCATGACTAAAACACCAAAAGCAATGGCAACAAAAGCCAAAATTGACAAATGGGATCTAATTAAAATAAAGAGCTTCTGCACAGCAAAAGAAACTACCATCAGAGTGAACAAGCAACCTACAGAATGGGAGAAAATTTTCGCAACCTACTCATCTGACAAAGGGCTAATATCCAGAATCTACAATGAACTCCAACAAATTTACAAGAAAAAAACAAACAACCCCATCAAAAAGTGGGCAAAGGATATGAATAGACACTTCTCAAAAGAAGACATTTATGCAGCCAAAAAACACATGAAAAAATGCTCACCATCACTGGCCATCAGAGAAATGCAAATCAAAACCACAATGAGATACCATCTCACACCAGTTAGAATGGTGATCATTAAAAAGTCAGGAAACAACAGGTGCTGGAGAGGATGTGAAGGAATAGGAACACTTTTACACTGTTGGTGGGACTGTAAACTAGTTCAACCATTGTGGAAGTCAGTGTGGCGATTCCTCAGGGATCGAGAACTTGAAATACCATTTGACCCAGCCATCCCATCACTGGGTATATACCCAAAGGATTATAAAACATGCTGCTATAAAGACACATGCACACATATGTTTATTGTGGCACTATTTGCAATAGCAAAGATCTGGAACCAACCCAAATGTCCAACAATGATAGACTGGATTAAGAAAATGTGGCACATATACACCATGGAATACTATGCAGCCATAAAAAATGATGAGTTCATGTCCTTTTTAGGGACATGGATGAAGCTGGAAACCATCATTCTCAGCAAACTATTGCAAGGACAAAAAACCAAACACTGCATGTTCTCACTCATAGGTGGGAATTGAACAATTGGAACACATGGATGCAGGAAGGGGAACATCACACACCGGGGACTATTGTGGCGTGGGGGGAGGGGGGAGGGATAGCATTAGGAGATATACCTAATGCTAAATGACGAGTTAATGGGTGCAGCACACCAACATGGCACAAGTATACATATGTAACAAACCTGCACGTTGTGCACATGTACCCTAAAACTTAAAGTATAATAATTAAAAAAAAGAACAGAAAACTCAAGGAAAGTAGAAGTAAAGAAATACTAAAATGAAAAAATTAACAAATGGAAAATTCAATATAATAGAAATGATTAACAAGATAAAATGCTTTCATTTTGTAAAGGCTTAAAGACAGCAAATTTCTAACAAAATGGAATTTAAAAAAGAAGAGACAAATAAACAATATTATGAACAAAAATATAGACAATTTCTACAGATTCAGGGGAGACACAAATAATCTCATAATAATATTTCTAGGGAATAGCTACATGATCATCTTAATGCATGCAGACAAATTGTCTGATAAAGTTTAAGATTCATTCATGTTAAACAGAAAACAAAATTGTTTGTTTGTCAGACTGTGACATCCTATCTTTCTTGTTATCTTTGGATATTGGTTGAAGTTCCAAAAGATTAAAGCAAAATGATAATTTTTAAGTACTTATATATTCTAAAACAAACAGCTTAAGCCACCAGTCATGGAGAACTTGGAAAGGGGTAGTCAATTCCTCTTCTGTCAGCATCAACCATCTCCCTTCTCAAGGAGATAGAAAAGAACTTTAACATTTCATCAAGAAGGTTGAGCCATCAGAGTTGTGCTGTGCAATCTCACACACATGTACACTGGCGAGAGAAGAAAGGTACTTATCTCTAATTGAGACCAAATGAGAGGGCCTTCAACAGAGCCTCTTGGAAAATCTGACATGGAGGCTTTGATTTGAGGACTTTTGGATTGGTACCTGCCTCCTGCCTTGGGAGGAAGTCTAAAGGCAAGAGGCTCTGTGGAGAGGTGCCTGAGGGTGACAAACAGACAGTGCTTCCTTGGACGAGCTTGTGCTCCCCCAGCTTGGTGAGGGCAGGGATGAGTGTGTTTCATATAGGCCATCTAGCAGTCCCACAGAATGGACCCAAAGACCAGTCATCTTAAAAGAAATGCTGTGCGAATGGCTGTTGGAAGAGGATGTCCCTGTTGAATTATGTACCCCTAGAAGCCAGCAGCCTGAAGGAAAACCTCTTAAAGACCAGGTAGGGAAGGCTCTGCTTGAGTGAAGGGGACTAAATGCAATAAATCCCACTGACAGTGCCTCTTCAAAGAGCCACAAAAACATCTCAAGAAAGAAAAAATCAGCTTTTCAACATCCACCATATTCGGAGAATAGCAATGATAGTCAAGAAAGACATTTCCTACGACCACCTTCCCTCCAACCTCAACCAGTCCTCAAAAGGCCCAAACACCAACTAGTGAGTCCAGAACAAGGAATGGTGAAAAACAGTGAGGACGCCAGCCATGCCCTTCCTCTCACTGCAGCGCTTGTGCACTGGGATAGGCCCCTGATGGAGAAGGGGAATGTGAAGTTGGATTCAAGTCTAGAGTTTTCTTATTTAAGTGGACTCGACTACTTATAACCTAAAGTAGCTGTAGAACATATTCTTACCTGAGACAAATTGCATAAGTAGGGATTCTGACCATTATTTTATCCAGGGTAGGAAAGAACTAGTCAATAGAGCCAAATTGATCAAGAGTGATGAGGGAGAAAAAGTAAAAGTTGTTTCTGCTTGCAGATTGCTGAATCCCATCTGCTCAATAAGCTTGTTACACTAGGAAAAAGGAAATTGCTTTTTTTTTTTTTTTTTTTTGAGACGGAGTCTCGCTCTGTTGCCCAGGCTGGAGTGCAGTGGCGCGATCTCGGCTCACTGCAAGCTCCGCCTCCCGGGTTCACACCATTCTCCTGCCTCAGCCTCCCGAGTAGCTGGGACTACAGGCACCCGCCACCACGACCGGCTAATTTTTTGTATTTTTAGTAGAGATGGGGTTTCACCATGTTAACCAGGATGGTCTCGATCTGCTGACCTCATGATCCGCCCGCCTCGGCCTCCCAAAGTGCTGGGATTACAGGCGTGAGCCACTGCGCCCGGCCATCGCTTTCTTAACTTGACAAATATTAACAATATCCATCCCAAAGCATAGTAAACAGTTAATGTGTTTGAGTGAAGGGAACTGCATGCAAGGAATCCCACTGACAGTGACACCTTAAAGAGCCACAAAAGCACCCCAAGAAAGAAAAAGTAGACTTCGGAAAAGCAGGAAAAAGATCAGAATGATCCCATTCACAAGTTCTATTCATCCTTGCTCTGTAAAGTGTAACCAACACAATAAGGCCAGAAAAATATTTACATAAAGAATAATAATTGGAATGGGAGAGAGAAAAATGTTAATTTCAGACAATATGATGGTCCATGTTAAAAAGCTAACAGAACTGTAAACTATTACTTTTAATAAGAAATATTAACATAGAGAAATAAATTACAGACTTTGTTGTGGGCTTAATTGCATCCCACCACCAAAAAATAATAATAATAATAATAATAATGATACATTGAAGCCTTAACCCGGTACTTCAAAAAGTGACTATTCGGAGGCAGAGCCTTTAAAGTTGTGGTTAAATTAAAATTAGGCTGTTAGTGTGAGCCCTAATTCAATCTGACTTTTGTCTTCATAAGTCAGAGGAAATTTGGACACAAAAAGAGACCCAGGGATGTCCGTGCACAGAGGAAAGACCATGCAAGGACACAGCAAAAAGGTAGCCATCCACAAGCTAGGAGAGAGGCCTCAGGAAAAACCAACACTGCCAATACTTTCGTCTTGTGCTTCTAGCTTCCAAACCATGAGAAAATAATTTTCAGTTGTTTCAGCCCACTTATTCTGTGAAATGTTGTTGGGGAAGTCTTAACAAACTAACAGGCTTCTAACTTAGCAGTACCTAATTAAAATGTAACAGAAAATAAAATATCCATTTAAAGTAGCAATGCAATTACAAAGCACCTACTCAAGGAATAAATCTAACAGTGCATGTTTAAGAAACTTATGAAGAAAATCACGAAGCTTATTGAAAGAAATAAAGACCTGAATACAAGGACAAATATAGCAAGTTCATTAATGATAATATTATAGATATTTCCATTCTTCCAAAAATTGGCCTATACATTTAGTGCAATAATAATCAAATTCAAAACAAAGAGTTTTTTTATGAAAGAGTAAAGAGACAATAATAATAGAAAATGTTGATAACACAAAGGAAGGCAAATGAGTCACTGTATAACTACAATGTAAAACTTTAATAATTAAACCAGAGTGGCAATTATGAATTTAAGATGCATTATTTTGGCTTACACTATTAAATATAAATTTTTTTGTTTTCAGATATTTATCACATTAAGGAAGCAATCTACTACTCTTCAGTTTTGTAAGACATTTAAATACTTTTTATTACAAATAGATTCTTTGACAAATGCCTTTTGAAAAACATCTCAAGTAATGATCATACAGCTCTTCTTCTTTCACCAAATAACAAAATATATTATCTTGTTTGATTTCTGACGTTGAAACATCTTTTCATTTCTGGAATAAACTCAACTTGGTGGTAGTATGTAGTTCTTTTAATATGTAGCTGAATTTAATTAGCTAATACTATATTTAGTATTTGTGAGTCTTCATTCACAAATAAGGTTGATGTATTTTATATTTTAGCTTTAAAATTTTTCTGGCTTTAAAAATGTATTGGGAAGTTTGAACTTTATGTTCACCCTTTCAAACAGTTTAGATAGAAAATAGTCTATTCTTAGAGCCTCTCTAGAATTCACTAGGAAAGTTTCTGGACCCATGGCCATTTTCCTTTTGGGTGGCATAGTTCATTAACAACTTTTTATGTTGATTACAATGCTACTATCTATGCACATTTTCTACTTTTTCTGGAGTTAGTTTTGATAATTTGATTTGCCTAAAACATTTAGAAATACTTTCAAGAAATTTCACAAGGCGTTATATATTTTACTTAAAAATAGAAACAGCTTTATGTATCATGTTCACATAGGGGAGGGACAGTTGCCTATTAGGTCATTGGTGACAACCTTAGTCTCTGAGTTTGGCAATAGAGCAAGGTTATAATAGAGAATCTGTTTTTAACTTTTATTAGAAACTTTTTGTGTGTGTGTGAAGTGAATGGAAAGTGTCATGTACTAAATAAAGTCTGAATACATTTTCTCTGTTTAACAGAGGAGGATACTGATCCTTTCTCTAAAAGGGCTCACATTCTGTTTACAAGCTTCTTATATAATAAAGAATACAATGCACAAAGATACCAAACCACTGAGTAGTGCATATTGTAAGGCAGAGAGTGCCTGAGCAAGGATTTATTTCTTCACCATCTCTCTCTCCACCATTAAAGCATAAAGGCCACATCGGAGCACTCAGTCTTCTGGCTAATTCTGGTACATTCCACTCTCTTCAGGAGGCTCCAGTTAATTTCCATCTCTCTGCACACCTGTGACCCCCTTCTTTCCCCCACCAACTCCAGCCTGCCATCCACATTAGAAATGTATGGGTTTCAAATTCCTAGGTCTAGATCCCCAAAGAGAATTCTGTTTCTGCTCATGAAGAACAGCTGAAGCTGCTGCCAGATTTAAATTAATGTGGGGCCTCTGGCTTGGGTGCAGACACACTTGGGTCAATGTGTGTCTTGGGTCAATGTGTTAGGACACTGCAGCTAAGAACCTAGGCTTCTTCGGGGGTTGGCATTTTGGGGCCAATATCTAAATGCAGTTCCTTTCTCTTTCTTTCTTTCTTTCTTTTCTTCTTTCTCTCTTTCTCCCTTTCTTTCTGTTTCTTTTCTTTTCCTTCCTTCCTTCCTCTTTCTTTCTTTCTTTTTTCTTTCTTTCTCTTTCCTTTCCTTTCCCTCCCTCCGTCCTTTCCTTCCTTCCCCTCCCTCCCTTCCTTCCTTCTCCTTCCTTCCTTCCTTCTCCTTCCTTCCCCCCTTCTCCTTCCTTCCCCTTCCTTCCTTCCTTCTTCTTTCTCTCTTTCTTTTGGTTCTCTTTCTTTCTTTCCTCTTTCTACTTTGCTCTCTCTATGTTTCTTCTGAAAACAATTCCAGATCATTTAATGCAGAAAATGTCCCCGAGAGAGAAGAGAAAGAGTTGGTAAATATAGAGATAGCATGTGTAAGGGGAGAAATTATGTGCATAAAAATTATTATAAAAATTATTATTTTGCCTTTGAATGAACAAATGTTTTGCAAATTTTTATAGCTTTTAAGTTTAAGAACAGAACAAAGAAAAGGATACCTTCGAAGGCCATGGGAAAAGTTCAAAAGCAGAGTTGCTAGGAAACAGCAGTTTTAGGAGGAAAGAGGGCCATCTGTATGTCAGCAGTGCCCTCTGGAAGTCCTGGGAGGGGCTGGGGGAAGGTGGCATCCTGAGGCAGTTTACTTTATGGTGGATCTAAATACATTGAAGAGAGGACCCTAGCAGCCATGCTTCATTGCACAGCCTTCGGGGGCCCTGAAGCCCACTGGCTGATGGCCACTAGGAGGTGAAAGGCCAGGGAACAACTGTGACTGCTCTGTTCCTTATCTGGTGTTATTGGGTATTACAGCAACTTAATTTTTGGAAACAGCCCCAAAGTAAAAAAGGCTTTGCCCATGGGACCCTTATTTCTGCCTTGAATCCAAATAGAAGTCAGACAGAAAGTTGATCCCTGGCCATCTAGGTGGATGCAGCCAAGATTGGATGGACCCCAGTGTAAGCCTTGAGAGGTTAGTATATAAAGGTAGACATGGGCAGCCCCCCATGCCTGGGAGAGAAACATGTCCCCACCCTTCCCTGCTGACAGAAAGAAAGAAAAGCAACTTGCTATGTCAAGAAACTTGTTGACTAGCTTTTTAAAAAAAGCCAACTGGCTATGTCTTCTCAATTGTCCATCTGTGAGGAATGGGGAAAAAAAGGCCAGAACTAGCATTGCCAGAGAGTTCTGTGGGATTACAGAGACTTCTACTCTTGCTTTCCCTTTGTTATGGAGATTCCAATGGAGAATTCACTATCACATGCCAGATCTTCACCTGGGAGAGCTACGGAAGTGGAATGCAGAAGGAAAATAGAACATCGATAAGGTGGTAAATGTAAGGTGTCTGATAGGAAGGGCCACTGGACTCTGCTTTTGAAATCTGTAAAGCAGAGTTAACTAAGCCTTTTGTTAAGAACTGCCTGCCATGGGGACAGAAAGGATTCTTAGATGTTATCTGGATTAAAAAAAAAAAAGTCCAGTGAGGCGAGGAACTGGCCCCACATCACACAGGAAGTCAGTGGTACAGAAGAGAACAAAGTCAGGTCCTCTTACTCGTGATGTTTGGTCCTCCAATTTCATCATACAGTCTAGTTTATCAATATCCAGACATTTACTGAGCCCCCTTTACATGCCCAGTACTGTTGCTGGTGTGGGGAACGTGCTGTTGGGGAATGCTGGAATATAATAATATCCCACACTTTTATTATCCTTTACAACTTACAAAGCACTTAATATACACTGCTTATTTAAATTTTGGTCCTCAAATAAATCAGAAATAAGTGTCATTAGTACATAAGTGAAAAAAGTAAACATTTAAAGAGGTTTAGTGATTTGTTCAAGGGGATATGGGAAGGGGCAATGACTCAAACCCAGACAGCAGACCTCAAAAATTTTCAATATAGCTAGAGAGATAAACATGGAAAACAATTGGTAAATTATAACATTATAGCATTGTATGTTATTTTAATTCATTCTTGCATTATTTAATGAGTTCCATTCATTTGAGATGTTTATGATGTTTGTGAGTGGACATGTCCAATAGATAGCTGAATCTGGGCAGAAGGGATAAATGATTTGGGACTGACTGTGTGCAGATGGCAACAGAAATCACAAGTGTGAAAGTGTCTTTTACTAATTGTCACCATTTTATCAACACTATCGAAGAACAAAGAAGAAGTAATGGCATTCTTGCAATTAGGAGAGCTGCACATGTAGGCTACTTATTAAGAGTTATCATTCAAGAAACAAAATTATACTGAACAGTTGGCTTTTCTGCAAGGTCTCTCCACTCTGGCTAGTTGGAACACGAAATTCTCCCAGACATATGTGAGCTGTGGGAATTATTCAACCCACAAATCTCTGGTAGTTGTTCTTTCCTTGCCCTCATGGCATCTTGCTTTACCTATGCAGCGCAATATTTAGGAAAAATATTACAGTAACCACTCCCTGCATAGATGCTATGGCTGAAAAATAATATGGAATATGGAGTAGGTTTTATTCCCCTAAAATTCATATGTTGACATTCTAAACACCCAGTAATGGAATTAAGGGGTAGGGCCTTTCAGAGATGATTGGGGCTCTGCTCTCATGAATGGGATTAGTGCCCTTATGAAAAAGGCCCCAGAGAGCCATCCCCACCCCTTCCAGCCTGTGAAGACAGAGCAAGAAGGTGTCAGCTACAAACTGGAAAGCAGGTCCTTACCAAATGCCATATCTGCTGGAGACTTGATCTTGGACTTCCCAGCCTCCAGAACTGTGGAAAATACATTTCTGCTATCCATAAGCTATTCAGTTTGTGGAATTTTGTTATAGCAGCCTAAATGGACTAAAACAGCAGATTTCGGCAATTCTTCCCATTTGTGGTTTCCTTCCCCATAGTATTCTGTTCATCAGAGTTCAGCTGTGTCAGCTTTCCGTCCTCCAATCTCTCAGTGCAGCAAAACCCCCATGCTCCGCTTAGGTCCCACTCCTCTCTGTCCTGTGCTTCAGGACAGAAAATGCCCAGGGAGAAAGCCGGAAGGCTCATTAGTTTCATTTCATGGCTCTCCTTTTACTTAGGGAACACAATACTGTACAGCAGAATGCCCAATCTCCAGAAAGTTATTTCACATATTTACCCAGTTTTCTAGCTGTTCACGGTTTGTGGAAAAGTTCACTACCAGTTAAGCTTCCAACATGGCTGGAGGCTTAAGTGTTCCCATGTAGTTTTGAAATGATGCAAATCTGCTATGAATGTGGAGATGACACCACTTGACATTTTAAAATTAATCATGTATGTTAAAAATTTGAGTATAACCATCTCAAAAATAAAAATGTAAAATAAAACTTCTAACCCAAGGGAGCACAAGACAAGGTGGAATTTTAAAAAAATGTGATCATTCCAATAGTAGATGGGAAGGGAGAAAGAAATGAAGCAAGATGTATGAGGATTCCAGTGCCAAGAAAGGACTTCAGCGTCAAAAGAACCAGCAGATGGGACTGTTTATTCCTGACAATATAGAGATGATTGAGGTATTTGGAAAAGACTTTAAAATAAACACTGGATGTTTAAAATTCTCAAAAAGCCAAAGGAGGGACTAACATCTGGAAGAATTACAAGTTATGAAAGATTAAAGGTAGACATTAAAAACCATTAGAACATTAGAGCTGAAATAAAAGCATTCGAAAAAGAATAGACAGGAGAAACTGAAGAGAGAACAGTTCCTTGGAAGATACAACTGAGAAAATCCTCCAGGGTATAACATAGAGGAACAAAGAAATGAACAATTATTCACTAATATATTTTTATCCAAACATCAACAAAATACATACAATTTAGTATCACTTAATTATAAAAAAACCTCAAAACTTTACCAAAAAAGGCTATTAGGGTGATTTTAACACACTTCTTTCAGTAAACATATAAGATTTTTTGGAAAAGTAAACATATAGGATTCTTGAATAAAATGATTTTCAAGTCTGATCTAACAAATAGATTTAGAAACCTGGATAGAACAATAGAATAGATGATAAATCAGGTGACTGTGTGTGTGAGCCCATTTCTGGACTGTCCATTCTCCGTTGTGTTCCACTGGTAAATCTGTCTATGCTATGCTAATGTCACACTGTCTTAATTACAAAAGCCTCACAATATGTCTTGAAATCTGATAGTGCAAAACCTTGAGCTTTTAAATTGCCTTGGTGACATCTGAATATAAAATATGAACTTCAGTTACTAATAATGTGTTGATATTTGTTCATTAGCTGTCATGCTACTGTAAGATGTTAATAAGGGAAACTAGGTAAGGGATATATAGGAAATTCTCTGTACTATCTTCGCAATTTTTTTGTCAATCTAAAACTGCTCTAAAATAGAAAGCTTATCTTTAAAAATTACCTTATTTTCTCTAATGCCTTTGTATATGAATTTTAGAAATGGCTTGTCAGTTTCTATAACAAAACCTACTGATATTTTGTCTGGGATTTAATGCCATTAATATTTTTGGATTAATTTAAAAATAACTGGCCCCTTAACAATAGTGTGCCTTATAAACCATGAATATTATCTCTCTCTCCATTAACTTAGGTATTTTTAAACTCCTTTCAGCAGACTTGCAGTTTTCAGTGTAGGATTCTTGGACATCATTTGTTCAACTTCAAGTTTTTTGTTACTATTTTAAGTGGTATATATTTTGTATTTTCTTTTCTCTCTGTTTGTGGCTGGTATACCGATTAATATAATTAATGTTTGTATACTGATTTTCTATCCAGCCACTTGGCAATATTCACTTATTAAAGCTATTGTCACTAAAATCCTTTGAATTTTTAAAGTATAAAATCATGTCATCTGTGAATAAAATAACATTATCTTTCCTTCCAATCCTTATGACTTTGATTTATTTTCCCTGCACATTTTTATTTATTTATTGCACTTGGCAGGATCACTAGTACAATGTTCAATAGAAGTGGTGTATGCAACATCCCACCTTGTTCTCAAACTCAGGGGGAGAGCTGAAATTATTTCAACCTTTAGTATGATGCTGGCTGTATATTTTTAAAAATAGATATTTATAATCAGAGTATTTCTTGCTTGTTTGGAGTTTAGATCATTAAAAGACATTCAATTTTATAAAATGCCTTTTCTACATCTATTGAAATTATGTGATTTTCTCATTTTTCTGTTAATATGTTGATCTTCTTTTGCTTTCTTAAATTAATCCAACTTAGTGGTCAAGATATATTATCCTTTTCAATATATTGCTTGATCCTGTTTGCTAATATTTTGTTTAGAATTTTTGCTTTTATGTTCACAGGAAAGATAAGACTGAAATTTTTCTTTCTTATAATATGCTCATCAGATTTTGGTATTAAAGATATATAAAAAGAACTGCCAAAAAGAATAATTTTGTTTCTTGAATGTTAACTCTTAATAAGTAGCCTACATGTGCAGCTCTCCTAATCGCAAGAATTCCACTATCTCTCCTTGGTTCTTCCATAATGTTGATAAAATGGTGACAATTAGTAAAAGACACTTTCACACTTGTGATTTCTGTCACCATCTGCACACAGTCAGTCCCGAATCATTTATCCCTTCTGCCCAGACTCAGCTACCTATTGGACATGTCCACTCACAAACATCACAAGCATCTCAAATGAATGGAACTCATTAAATAACATACACTTGCTACCTTCTGGAGAAGTTGAATAAGATTTATGTTCTATTTACTTTATGTGTTTGGAAGCCATCTAGTCATTTGTGTGTGTGTGGAGTAAAAGGTTTCAATAAAATATTCAATTTCTTTAATAGACATTGAAATATTCAGGTTTTCTATTTCTTTATCTCTCAGCTATAGTAAGTTGCATTTTTTGAAAAATTTGTCCTTTTCATACAAATTGTCAACTCCATTTGCATAAAGTGGTTTGCAATACCTTTATCTTTGAAAATAATGTATCTGTAGGATCGATAATGAGATCTCTTCTTTAATTCCAAATATTGATAATTTGTCTTTTCTCTCTCTTCTTTTTTTCTTGACCAATCTTGCTGCAGGTTTATCACTTCTTTAGCCCTTTCTAAAAATCAAATTTAGGACTATTAACTTTATTGTACTTTTAAAAAATTGATTATTGTGCTTATCTTTATTGTTTCCTAAATTTTGTTTCCTTAAGTATCATTTTTAATAGTTTTTTAAAAGACAGAGCTTAAATTATTATTTCTTGATCTTCATTGTTTTCTGATATATGATGTAAGGCTATAAATTTTTCTTTAAGTACTGCTTTAGCTTCAAGTGACAAACTATATGTTTTATCTTCATAATCACTTGGCGCAAAGTATTTTCTAATTTTGATTTCTTCTTTAACCTATTAATTATTTAGAAGTGTCTTATTAACTTCTAGGCAATTAAATGTTTTCAGTTATCTTTTTATCATTAATTTTAATTCCTTTTTTTCCCTTTTTTGTAGAGATGAGGTCTTGTCCAAGCTGGTCTTGACCTCCTGGCCTCAAACAATCCTCTCGCCTTGGCCTCACAGACTGCTCAGATTACAGGCATGAGTCGCCACACCCGGTCTTGGTTTCTAATTTAATTCATTGATATCAGAGAACCAATTCTGAATAATTTCAGTCATTTAGACTTTTTTAAGACTTTCCTCATGGACCAACATTATTGTTTATTTTGGTAAATGTGTCATGTGAGAATGAAAAGATGTCAATGTGGCAACATTGGTTCTGTGTTCTATATATGTCACTTAGGTCATATATATGACTTTAGGCCAAGTTGGTTAATTTTGTTCTTCACATTTTCTAAATCTTTGTCTGGGAGCAGATTATAATTTGCCTGATCTATCAGTCATTAAAAGAGATATGTTAAAACCTTTTACCATAGTTGTAAAACTGTTGATTTATTTAGTTTTTCTTTTAGTTGTTAGTAAATTTCATTCATATAATTTACAGCTATGTTATTGGGTGCTTACAGAGTTAGGATTTTGCCATTCTGCTGAAGTGATCCCTCTGCCAATAGAAAATATCCTTTATATCTTCCATAATACTTTTTGTCTTAAAGCCTATTTTGTCTGTTATTGGCATAGTTATACCAGCTTTCCTTTGGTCAGTATTTGCATAGGATATTTTGTTTGTTTGTTTGTTTGTTTGTGTCAGAGTCTGACTCTGTTGTCCAGGTTGGAGTGCAGTGGCACAATCTTGGCTCACTGCAATCTCTGCCTCCCATGTTCAAACAATTCTCTGGCCTCAGCCTCCCAAAGTGCTGGGATTACAGGCGTGAGCCACCACACCCGGCCTGCATAGGATATTTTCCATCATTGTATGTATCAAACTTTCTGTGTTCACATTTGTTTTTCTCTTGAAAGTACCATAGTGGAGACTTTTTCTTTTTTAAAAGAATTTTGTACTATAACTTTTTTTACTCAAAAGTTTCAGTCCATTTACTTGATTAAACTGGGTTTATACATATATTATGCATTTATGTATTACTATTGTTTCTAATTTACTAATATGTATTATATTCTATTTTCTTCCCTTCTTTTAGATTAATCAAATAATTTTATTATTCATTTTCCTTGCTATTCATTTGTTAATTATACATTTTTCTATTTTTTACTCAAGCAATTGCAACTTACATTTTCAAATTATTTAATTCTAATAAAAATATTTACCTTTACCATTTCTCCTATAATTTGGAATCTTAAAACACTTTAAGTCCATTTACCTCCTTCCATCTTTTGTATTATCTTTATGAAGCATCTTTGTTTTACACTTTTTGAGTCATTTCTACTATTGTCTATACCATCACTATTGCTTTATGTTTGCCAACATATTTATCATTTCCAGTTAGTTCTCTTTATTTCAAATGGCATTTTCATGTATCTTGCTGGGATAATTTTTGAGCTTTCCAAAGCATTCCCTTTGCTATTTCTTTTAGTACAGACCTGTTGGTAGTAAATTCTCTTAATTTTTGTTTTCCTAAAACAAACAAAGAAAAAACTTTAATTTCTTTTCCTTTTTGAAATAAGTTTTCATTGAGTTTAAGATACTACTATGGCAGTTATTTTCTCGCGCTCCTTTTAAGATTTTATCTTTGTCTTTAATTTTTCTGTAGTTTGACTTGATGTGCTTAGGTCTGTTTTCTTTATGTTTATTTAGCTTGTGGTTCACTGATGTTTTTGTATCTGTGAATTGAAGCATTTCATTAATTTCAAAAATTCTCAACCATTATGTCTTAGATTATTGCTCCTGCCGTCTTCTCTCCTCTGTCTTATGGGAGTCCAATTAAACGTGCATTAGAACTTTTGGAGAGATCCTATACAACTCTTAAGCTCTGTTTGTTCAGTTGTTTCAATATTTGTCTTTAAATATTTTCTATTCACCTGTCTTTCAGTTCAATAATTGAATCTTCTGCTGTGTCTAATTGCTGTTGGACTCATCTAATTTATTCTTAATCTTAGGTATTATATATTTCAGTTGTAGAATATCTACTGGTTTCTTTACATATTCAAATATTCTGGTTAAATTTTTTGACTTTTCATATATTTCTTGGATTGGCATAAAGGTCTCAGTTTGGTGGGAAAGGCAGACTTCTCCAGCTTGATCTAATTAACAGGATATATAAAACTAGCAATACTATCTAGGATACTTTGACAGATATAAAAAGTCTAAAACTGAGGATAACAGACTACAAATTTATAGATGTAACTGTGTGGGGGAAGAACATAATAAGTGTCTGCCAGTCTCCATCTGTATATCCAGCTTAATGTAGCAAGCTAGAAAAGTAGCAGACATGACTAGCAGCCTGCTGAATATTCATTATCTTCTTCCTCCTTTGTATTTACAGAAGCTCTATTTTGCTCGGTGGGGAAGTAATGTGCACATATAAAATGCTTTGTCTTTCAGGCTCACTTCCAACTAGGGGTTGACCAGGTGACAAGATTGTGGTAGAAATTTAAGGGGAGGTCCATCAGATATGGAAAGTTGTTGTTTTTCTGGTTAAAGAGATGGACTCATCGGGCATATGCCTTTGTTCATTTCTCTTTTCATCCTTCTTCTGTCTGGAACACAGTTTCAATATCTGAAGGTGAAATGGCCATCTTCAAAAAAATATCCTAAAGACAGGAATATTTCCTTGAGAAATTGCACTTTCCCCAGATCTGCCCATTTCCAGACTTCTAGTTATATGGAAAAAATAAACTAACTGAAGATGATTATGTGTTAAATGCAGTCAAATGCAACCCTAATTGATGGCAATGGGAGGTTGTTACAGATTTGTATGAATTTGTACTGTAGTAGACTCCCTGGAAATCCAAGGAAAACTATTTCAAAATGAGACTTGATCAACTGTACCGTAAGAAAAACAAGCAAAGAAAAGGGTTTCATAAGGAAAACAATGAAGAAGAGTGCTTGGCTCTTGGGAGTTTGCTGGGAACATTGAGTGAGTCTTTTCACAGCCCATGTATGATGCAACACAAAATTATTTGAAATCCTGTTTGCTATCTATATCCCAAAGTCCTTCTCATCTCAGCATAATGAATTCTTCCAGTCTTTCTCCTTCTCTCTCAAAATGTACTCTGACGCTTTCTCAAAATTTGTCCTGAGCTAGACTTCATTTTTCTTGCCCATCTCCCCTTACTTTCATAATCTAGTCTCTTCTTTTCTGCAGGTAGCTCTCTGTCCTTCCAATGTAAATCCGTCAAATTAGTTTGGTTGCTTTTGCTTCTCCTTCTCCCTCATTATCCACATCTATGCAACAATTCCAGGCACAGAACTGGCAAAGACGAAATTATCATTTGCATGAAAAGGAAGGTGGAAGCCATTAACATCACCTCTGTTAACACAAATAACTCAGAAGAATCAAACAAGGTTTGGTATTATAGGGATCAAATGTCAACACCGACACTGGTTTGTTCTTTAATTTAACTTGACTAAACTATAACTTGCATCATTCAGTCCCCTAAACAGGAGCTAAACCAACACATTTCCCTGGCATTCGAAATTATACGGAAAACTACTTTTGAACAATAACGTAAAGCACTGCACATTCCATAAAGCACTTCTTCTCCCTGCAAATCTGGAAGCTGGGGAAACTCTTCTTTTCCCTGAGCTTGTCCTGTTTCCTCCTGCTACCTGCTGTGCTATTTAGGGAGCCCCAGTTTCACTCTCGTCTGAGATTTGAAGGCCAAATCCCAAGTTTCTGCCTTAGTAAATAGTGCCCTTGATTCTAGAGTCCATCTCACATTTTGTTTTTAGTTTCTGATACCCTTTTTATTGTCACCCGTCTTTCATCTATCTCCCATGGAGAATTCCAGCTACCAGTACTAACAACATTATACATAGTACCGCCACTGATGCCAACATGAAATGGAAATACATATTCTTTTTGTAGGGTCTATAAACTTCCTGGTTTAATAAAGCAGAGCTACACTGAAAGCTTATCTAACTCAGTTTACAATAAGAAAGTGCCTTGGTGCATGTGTTTGCATTGAAAAGAAAAGCTAAAATCAACACTTCTAAGACCACCCCCCATACCGGAGTGAATCTTGTTATAAGGAAAAAAGAAAATCAAGGTGTAAGTTGGTTAGAACACCAAACCAAATTAAATTTGATCTAATAGTGTTTACTTGTTGTAACATCTAGAAAAGTTGGGACAAGCACTGTAAACATTTTTAACCTAATTTTAAAATAAATTATGCTTAATTTCACCAGATGTATTTGTTTTTTTAAGTTTTTAAAAAATTTTTTTAGAATTTTTTTCTTGCGTTTAACAGACAAGAATTTGGATTATAAAAGAAAGAATATCTAAATATCTCCCCTAAAGGGGCCTCATAAGAGCATTTTAGTACTTAAAAAAGTGTGATTTAAAAAGATCTTATATCCTTTGCTGGGTGAAAAACAAAGAGATCTGGAGAATGTCTTAAATCAGGGTTGCACAAGAATATTTCCTCCTGCAGAGAGAAGAAAAGGAGGTAGGAGATGGGGCCTCTCCACTGTTCCTGACTCCAGAGATAGCACTGAAATCCTTTTTTTTTTTTCTTTTTGAGACTGATTCATGCTCTGTCGCCCAGGTTGGAGTGCAATGGCGTGACCTTGGCTCGCTGCAGTCTCCGCCTCCTAGGTTCAAGCGAGTCTCTCACCTCAGCCTCCCGAGTAACTGGGATCACAAGGCCCAGCTAATTTTTGTATTTTTCATAGAGACGGGGTTTCACTATGTTGGCCAGGATGGTCTCGAACTCCTGACCTCAAGTGATCCGCCCGCCTCAGCCTCCCAAAGTGCTGGGATTACAGTCATCAGCCACTGCGCCCAGCCCCACTGAGCTATTAAGTGGACAACTTCTATATAGTTGGAGGGTTTATCTGAGAGACATAAATACATAAATATTCTAAGTAAATGTGTCTCCTATCCTCCTCATAGGCACTACTCTTCTCCTCCCTGCCCCAAATACATATTTTTTCAGTGTCTGCCTGGAAGGGGCCCGCCAAGATATAGAAACTACCCTACCAAAGCCCTTGGCTGTTTGGTGTTAAAGTGTGCAGCCCTTTACCATCCTGTCTTATATCCCAGGGTATACTCTATGTGCTACTATAGAACAGATTAGGCTAGATATTTATGAGGACAAACTTGGGAAGAAAAAGCTAAAAAAAAAAAAAGTGAATTTGAAGACCTAGAAAAGCACCAGTCCAACATTTGTAAAGCCTAAAATCCTGTTCTTCTGCTACTAGAATTCTAAGGATTTGCCTCGTTTTTGCGTTGGCGTCAGCTTAAGTGTTTACTCTGTACAGGAATCAGATTCCCCAACCACCTGCTTCTCTGTACTCCTGTTCTCCTTAATGTTGTGTTAGCATTTGTTTTGCCAGCTCTGCCTTTCCTGTATTCACAAAATAAAGTGTCACTTTGTGTTGGTGGGATCATCTCTTAGATTCATTTTTAATCTTTTCAGTCATAGCCTGTGACTGCAACTTTCTGGAACTACGGCAGGTGATGAGTTCTGTTGGGTTATTGAGAAAACACATGTTGATTAATCTCTTGTCCTTGGGCTTTTTTTTTTTTAGCACCTGTTTAATGTCCTACAAGAGAGTTATTACTTGATGCAAACAGTAGATAACACCGATAGTTGTAAATCAGGGAAACAGCTTCTTTTTGTTTGTTTGTTTTGTTTTATATTTTCTCCATTCAATCTTCTCACTGTATAACACCTTCTGGAGGCAGCTAAGAGCTTTCCATCTGTTAGAGGTTCAGGCAGAGGCCTTGAGCTTTATGTGTTTGGTAAGGGTCATGCTAAGCACAGTTGGTTTTCTTATTAGAAAAATACCATTTTATTCTATGATAAAGCTTCATACTTGTGACAAAACAAATTCTGTAGCAGACATATAATTGCCTTTTAAATTCTCATTTCACAGCATAACTCCATCCACATACTCATATCTCAGAGAAGCTCATAGTACAAATCATGTACATATTTACTCCTTGTTTTTTGTTGCTAAAATGTAACATTGGCTAGTCATGAAATAGCTCTTGAAACATTAAGAATCATAGTCACCTTTGGGAGGCCGAGGCAGGCAGATCACTTGAGGTCAGGAGTTTGAGACCAGCCTGGCCAACTTGGTAAAACCCCGTCTCTACTAAAAATACAAAAAAATTAGCTGGGTATGGTGGTGCATGCCTGTAATCCTAGCTACTCAGGAGGCTGAGGCAGGGGAATTGCTTGAATCTGGGAGGCGGAGGTTGCAGTGAGCCAAGATTGTGCCACTGCACTCCAGCTTGGGTGACAGGACACAGCAAGACTCTGTCTCAAAAAAAAAAAAAAAAAAAAAAAAAAGAATCACAGCCACTTCTCTCTCCTCATAGCCTTTATAAGCAATTATAACCTTAACCTATACCACTTTAAGAATCAAATCAATTATTTTTCTATTCTCTTTTTTGTTCTTGTTTCCAGAGCAGTGGTTTTCAAAATGTGGTCACTAGTCCAGCAGCATCAGGATCACTTGGGAATTTAGGAATGCAAATTCTCAGGTTTTATCCCAAACCTACTGAATCATAAACTCTGGGGATAGAGCCCAGTAATATAGGTTTTAACCACTGACATAGGGCCAGTAGTCTTGCTTCATAGGAACTAGCTGTACTGGCATAGAGAAACATTACCCATTCCACCTGTAAAGACAGGAGGACAGGAAGCAAGGCATGACAGCCTAGGGCAAGCCTCCATAAAGCTGCATAAAAGGCGTGGTCTGCCAATCCACATGTTGGCACCACAGACCTGATTAAGGGAAACACCTCTGGAAGACAACTGATTTTGAATTTGAGAAGTGATTGCACACCATAATCAGTCAACTGCATGTGTATGAACAGGAGCATCTGCTACTCACATTTTCAAAACTACCTTTTCCACAGGTACATTCCAGAGTGCAACAAACCACTTCCACATGTGGGGGCTGATCTCTCAACTATATATCTTACCTGCCTTTTGTGTCATCACAGATTTCTTTAGAAGTTAAAGTTCACTTCAAAGTCATGGTGAAGTCAAAACTTTTCCAGGTGCAAGGATTTATCTTCAGAGATGTGGGTGATCAAGGCCGGGAAAAACTGTGAGTTAGTGGGGGGCTACCTTCCAGCTAACAGATCTTAAAGCTCATCTCTGCCCACAGTGGAACCACGTGAGAAGCTTTATTAACACATCAGTGTTTGGGCCCCATCTCCCAGAGATTTTGACTTATTTATTTTAAGGTGGGGTATAAGAGTTGGTATTTTTTTAAAAAAACTACCCCATATTCTTCTACTGTGCAGCCCAGTTCCAAAACCACTGCCTTAAATAAATATTTCTTGAGCATTTAATATAAGTGAGTCTCTTGGTAACTGGAAAATTCAAAAGAACACAAGGCAAGAGGCTGTGTCTTCAAGAAGCAGAGAATGGTGGAATGTGGAGCAAAATATACACACCTAACTGGAACCTACAGGAGACTGTGGTAAGTGCTACATTAGAATTACACACAGTTTATAACCCGGGCCAAAGAGAGGGTAGAGTTTATTCTGAGTGGTAACAACTGGATATGGCTTCGCAGAGGAAATTGAATTTGAATTTGGTTTTGAAGGGATTGTAACAGACAAGGGAAAAAGAACATGTTAGGTAGAAAAAGCAAAAATGAACAAAAGCATGGAGGCAAGAAAGTTCAAGCATTTTGAAGGGATAAGTCAACATCATGTAGTTGCAGTATACAGGGAAGGAAGTTGGTAAGGTGGGCTGGAGCCAGATTTCAAATAACTTTGAACAGGATGCTAAAAATCTGCATCTTATGAGCAATGAAGAGTAACCTTATGATAGGTGTCTAAGAAAGACATCTCATTTAGAAGCTAACTGATATTTACACTAATGAAGGTGTTGCTAACTACATTTAGCCAGTGAAACATTTACTGAGCATTTCATTACTTTGTTGCAAGCTCCTGTGCTAGACACTATGAGGGACTAAAAAACATACTCAAGGCAGCAATTTTTCTCTAAATTCTTTTAATAAATAGATTGTTGAAACATACACTCTCATAATTCTATTATACAAAATGGAATTTTGTGGACTAAATAGCTGATTTACGTTGTTGCTCTTAATCGTTCTTGTTTTTTGAAAAAGCAGGCTATATGTGGTAAAAGTAGCTTACTGGAGCCACTTAAAACATTTGCCTAATGGCTACTTATATAAAACATGCATTAAAATACTCTGGGCTTGCAGGGAATACTTATGCCTTGAAGACCATTGTGAAGAAGGGCAACATTCCAGGACAAGCTTATTGCTCAAAAAGATTTCTGCAGTTCAGGCACCTTTCAGTGATGATAAATGTGATGCCTGGTCCCACGTGTGAGCATTTGTATGCAGGTGTTTTTTGGTCTGGTTTTCTTTTATTTGGAAAAGAAGGCACATTCTCTCCTCTTTTGCCATTAATATGAGCAATAACTCCACCCCTCTTGAAAAGGCACTGGATATTCAAATTGTTGACATCTCTTATGGTGAGATCTAAGAGCACCACGCAGCCTGAGCCTCGGACTACTAGTTGCTTGCAGTAACCTCAAGCAGGTCACTTTCCCTCCCTAAATTTCTTTATCTGGAAAGTAGGAAAAATAATAGTACCTGTGGCACAGAAACTGGGTAAGTTCAATGAAATAACAGTGCTAAAAAATTTGAGGTTTTATTACTGAAACAACATGCAGGGCTTTGTGGATGCTGGGGAAGGAGAAAGAAATGAGACCCGGGATCTGCTCTCCCTGGCAAGTCAGTCGCATAGGGCACCTGGGTTGCCTTGCCTCTTGCCTTTCTCAACCTTGTCTGTTTATATCTCCAATCTACAGCTTGGATCTGCTGAGTCCTGAGCTAAAGAGAATAAAACCTGGTGCAGAGTGAGGGTCCCCTTCTCAACAGCAAGTTTTGTCTGGACTTGGTCTTGACAGAGGCCTGGTGGGAGCTATGGCCTGGGCACCCATGTGGCCCTGGAGCTGCAGAAAATACAAGAGATACAGGTGACCTCTAGAAGCCAGAAAAGGTAAGGAAGAAAATTCTCATTGATATGATTTGGCTCTGTGTCCCCACCCAAATCTCATCTTGAAGCTCTCATAATTCCAAAAAGTTGTGGGAGGGACCTGGTGGGAGATGATTGAATCATGGGGGTGGGTGTTTCCCATGCTGTTCTCATGATAGTGAATGAATCTCACAAGATCTGATGGGTTTAAAAATGAGAATTTCTCTGCATAAGCTCTCTCTTTCCTGCTAGTGTTCACATAAGATGTAACTTGCTCCTCCTTGCCTCCCACCATGATTGTGTGGCCTCCCCAGGCATGTGGAACTGTGAGTTCACCATTAAACCTGTTTCCTTTATAAATTGCCCAGTCTTAGGTATGTCTTTATCAGCAGCATGGAAATGGACTAATACACTCACCTAGAGTCTCTAGAAAGGGCCGGTGCTACTGACACCATGACTTTAGCCCAGTGAGACTGGTTCCAGACTTCTCACTTCCAGAACCAGAAGAGAATTAATCTGTGTTGTTTTAAGCAACCAAGTTTGTGGTAATTTGTTATAGCAGTCATAGGAAACTAAGACAATAAAATTTGAGTAAAAGGTTCAAACCAGACTTTGACTGCTCAGTTGGGAAACTTTGTTTATATTATGTGGGCTATCCCTGGCTTCATTGTTAAGAGTGTAACAGAGATGGTTATGTTCCTGCTTCAACCTGAACAGGTCTCCTTTAATAAAGGCAATTGTATAATAACAACAATAATAATAATAGTAACTCTCCCTTGCAGAGACTCCTGCTGCCATACCATCTCTACATGTCACCATCTTCCTTTCCCAGAGAAACCCTTCCAATCTGGATGTCAGACTTGATGGGATCCAAGTTCGTCACACTCTTGATGGGCTGCTGGCTGCCTCTCAGTAGCCCCAGAGCGAGGAGGGTTGATTTATCCTTCCCCCAATCCACCTTGTGGCCAAGGCCAAGTCTATCGTAACTGCAACCTATTGTAACAATCAGTTCTTCTAGGCTTCATATCTGCACTCGTAGGAAAGTGACATGCCCCTGAAGTGAGTCTGAACTCATCTCAGACAGCCCCAGCCACTCTGGAAGAAAGCCACTGACAATTTGGAATAGCTGAGCTGAATAAGGCTTTGGGGAGGCCAAACAATGCTATCATCCCAGCTAGAAACATTCCTGGTACTTTGGCTAATTTCTAAGATGCAAACTAATTCAGTTCACTTTTAAGAAATGAAACCCTTGAGGCTGAAGCATCCTCACAGGAAAGACCCAAACCAAGTAGCCCATTACTTTTCTTACATACTTCAAAACACAATCTGATCTTAAGAGGATGCCAGTCTAACTTCGGAGAGAGAAGCATGGGTCTGCTGAAGGACCAAATAGGGATACTGTTAGAGATTTCAGATCAAGAGCTTCAGTTACTTGTACTCAATCTCCCCACTACTACTGCCTTTATCACACTTGGCTTTAAGAGCAAAAAAAAAGATCTAAGGTTAGAAAAATATTCATTTTACTTGAGTGCTTTTCGTTTTTCATGTTTAGTTTTAATTATATGTATAACAATATATATCATACATATTTACATATTTAGATATTATATATGTATAATACATGTCTATCATACATATATGCAAAACTTGTAACTATGTACAGTAAAAATAAAAGTCCCCTTAATTGTTCCTTATCCAAAGATCTCACTTCCCTCCTCTAGAACTAATCAAGTCAGTAACTAGACATGCCCTCTTTTATAGTTTTCCAAGTATCTGTATTGATATTGACATATATTATATGCATATTTTAGAATTAGTTTGTTTCTACATAAGTAGACTCACAATACATTTTTGGTGAGTTGCTTTTTTAAAAATAAACTTTTCATTTTATTTATTTAACTACTTTGGAAGAGTTTTATATTTACAGAAAAATTGTGAAGGTGATACAGAGACTTCCCATATACCCCATACCCAGTTTCTCCTACTATTCACATCTTACATTACTATGGTATATTGGTCATAATTAATAAACCAACACTGGTAAATTGTTATTACTAAAGGCCATACTGTATTCAGATGTCCTTAGTTTTGACTCCGTGTCCTTTTTCTGATCTAAGATCCCACCCAGGATACCATATCACATTTAATTGTCATGTGTCTTTTGGCTCCTGTTTATGTGACAGTTTCTCAGATTTTTCTTTTTTTATATTGACAGGTTTGGAAACACTGGACGGGTGTCTTGTAGAATGCCCTTGATAGAGTCTGGATGTTGTTCCCTCTAAATCTCCTGTTGCATTATAATCTCCAATATTGGAGGGGGAGCCTGGTGGGAGGTGATGGGATCATGGGAGTGAATTTTTCATGAATAGTTTAGTGGCATCCCCTTAGTACTGTCCTCACTATAGTGAATGAATTCTCAGAGATATGGTTTTATGAGTGTGTGGCATCTTCCCCCCTCACTCTCATGCCTCTGCTCTCACCATGTGACTTGCCTGCTCCCCCATCACCTTCTGTCATGAGTAAAAGCCCCTTGAGGCATCTCTGGAAGGCAAGAAGATGCTAGCACCATGCTTGTATAGTCTGCAGAATCATGAGCCAACTAAACCTCTTTTCTTCATAAATTACCCAGCCTCAGGTATTCCTTTGTAGCAACTCAAGAATGGCCTAACACAGCTCTTCTATTCGGATTTTTCTGATGTTTTTTTCTCATGATTAAACTGGGGTTATGGGTTATTGAGAGGGAGGCCACAGAGGTGAATTGCCAATTGTATCACATCATGTTAAGAATATGTACTAGAAATATGACTATCACTGTTGATGTTAATTTTTAATCACTTGGCTAAGGTGGTGTTTTTCATGTTTTCCACTGTAAAATTACTCCCCCACTCCTTTCAACACTGTGCTCTTTGGAGGAAGTTACTATTAATCACTTTTTAGCTCAGACCTCAGGAGTGAAGAGTTAGGCTCCCCTGCTTGAGGGCAGAATTTCTACATATATTATTTGGAATTCTGCATGGGAGATTTGCCTACTCTCCCTCACTTATTTTACTCAATCATTTATTTATATCAGTGGGAGCTCATAGATATTTATTTTATGGTTTGGATTAGAATTTAAAACTGCATTATTGCATTATTTATTGTGACTTGCTTTTTTTAAACTTGTCTGGGGAAATTTTTCCTTTCTTTTAAGTCATAGTTTCAAAACCATAGCCTTTATACTTATGTATTTGGAATGCTATTATTTTTAAATTAAACTGTTTCTATATGAACTATGGTGGAGAGATGTTTGTAATTGCAAAGAACAGAGCTGAGATTATCTCCATATTTCAAAAATTAATTTGGGTGACAGTAGTAAATGAGAGGCACTAATGAATGCTATTACTAGCAATGAATTGGAAATCTGGACAATCTGGTCAACCTGGAAAATTAGACATTCCCATAATTACCTTCTTTACCAAGTTCCCTCTATCTCACAAAGGTTCTTTGGTGGATTTTAACCAGAAAAGGGCACTCATTTCTCTCCCCTTGTGGCATTAATATAAGCATGAATTATACCCTCCTCCAAAGTATGCAGAGAATTTAAATTAATAACTCTTATTATAAGGAGAGGGGGCCTGTTACCTATATAGCGAAATCTGAGATGTTGGGTGGACTGAGTTCTAAGCTTTCAGGCTGGGTTTCAAGAAGAATCAGAGCAAATTCAGGTATTCAGTTCACCAAGAGTAAACAGAAATTGCTCCTTAATTTTCAGCAAACCACAGCAAAGGAAGCAATTTGTTCAAAGTTGGCGTGAAAAGATGAAAAGTAATAAAACTCTTAAGACATTGATTGCCACACCATCATCATATCAACATGTCAGCGAGGTCTCATGCTTTCTAATCAACACTTGCACAGCCCAATTGTCTTCCACCAGGCTTCACTTCACTCGGTCACTCATGAGCCCAGGATGGCTTCTCTCTGCTCACCTTCAGTAAGAGTTTCTCAGGAATCACTGCACTTTGCTGGTAAATCCACTTCCTCTCCTAGGATAGCCCCATGACAAGGAACCCACCTCAGTTCATTCACAAAGGCCAGCAGGAAGTTGGAACAACTCGGGTAACTGCTTCTTCTTGACTGCAGCCTTTTGACCCACCTTACTGAAATCCCCAACTTCTGGAGTCAAACTGTGAAAGAAATGTACATAGCTACTTCTTCATCTCCTTACAATAACTGAAGGAAATCAAGCCCCTAGATGTAAGTCTATGCTTTGTCTCCTGACAGACAAGCTTCTTCTGCCATCTGTTTCTAATTGTCTTTCTGATCTTATCTTCCCAAGCAGGCTCCCAAGAGCTCTCTGCTGTTGCTGGCCTCCTCCCTATTTCCTCCCTTTTGCCTTGTAAATTCTTGCTCCAAGTGTTTTCTAACCTGTTTCTACCACTGAGGATGCTCTATTCTCCTCTTCCCCGACAAGCACCATTTCTAACTTCAGAGTACAACTCAAAAGTTACCTGCTCTGTGGCTCCTCCTTACCTCCAATCCCAGAAATTTCCCCTTTCCTGCCCACGTTGTACATCTTCTCTTCTGCGAGCATTGTCTATTCTTCCCCTGAGGTCAGAAATTGGGTCAGGTATACCCTTTGAATTCCGCAATGCTCTGACAATCAGAAATTGTTTCCTGATTGACATGAACATGAGATATGTTGGTCAACCCTGAATATTGTCCTGTAAGGGAAATAGCGGTTGATGTTTTCAACTATTTTAAACATAGAAAGCCAACATGTGGATGAAAAGGTTTGTTGAAAGTCGAATAGATGCTCATCTCCACTCCTTCCTGCAGCAGCATTAAAATATAATAATATAAAATATATAAACACATAATGACAAAGAAAATGAAAGCAGTATTACAGCAGACAAGAGATGGTCAACAAAATTTAGGGAATAGAAAGTAGATAAATGAGTGGTTACTAAAATCCAACTGCCAGTTCGGGAACTGTGGAACCCATGAATGCCAATTGTTACCCAGTACAACCCAGTTGTGTGTCTCAACACCCTCCAGTCTCAGAGATGAGAGGGTGTTGTGTATCTCAAGGCTGGTGTGGGATGAGCCTGAAAACAGGAGGACTGCTTGACAATTATGTAAGAAGTAGACCCCAGACCCTCCCCTAGCCCACAGTCAAGCAATTGCCTTTGGTCCATTAGGACACAAACAGGTTTACTCTCCAGAGGGACTGGGGGACACCAGGCTCAGCTGAAGGCAGGGGTGAGGCACTAAAAGAAAAAGAAGGTGGCATAGATAAACATATATGCACATGAAACAGTGAAAGCCACCATCTTTCCCTGTTCAGCAGCCAGAACACCAGGAGCCAGACTTGTATTCCTCAGGCAGGGGATTGGAGAATTAGAACTCTTCTCAGGGGAATCTGATCTTCCCCAAGGGAAGAAAAATCTTAGGTTGGGAACCCAGTGAAATATCTAGGTCCTCATCCAACAACCCCAAGGCAAACCCACCACTGACAAACCCTCCTCCCCCTTAGTATCACAGCTAGTAAATGTATACACAGGTTCAAATCAGATTTTTAGGGTTTGAACTTAAGAATGAGTCTGTGCCATTTACTTGCACTAAGACATTTCTACTAAGTTTCTGTTATGAGTTCAAATAAGCAAACAAAAAAACTAAAGCAAAAAAGGAAAAAAAATAACCCGGGGGAGCAGAAGCATTTGAGAAATCAGAAAAAAAAAAAAAGGAAAACAATTAAATCTCAGCTGTAAGAAAAGATATTGAATCTGTACAAAAAGAGTGCTATTAACAAAATAACAGCAAACAAGAAAAACTCTTACAACTAAAAATATTATAGCACTTAAAAACATCATTTAAAACTTTAATAGAATGAATAGACGATTAAACTTAAGAGAAGCTCCTGGAAAGCATAACAAAAAAGCTGATGAGAAGACATTGAAAAAATAAGTTAGAGAATTAAAGAATAAATCCATGAAGATCAACATCCAACTGATGAGATCATCTGAAAGAACAATCAGAGAAAGAAACTGTAAAAAATAATTGAAGAAAATATTATTGAGCCAAGGGATATGGCTTTCCAGATTGAAGAGGAAGTATTGCATACCCAGCATGTTAAATTAAAAAAAGACCCATCAAGGCATATCATCATAAAATGTAGGATAAAGAGAAATCCCTAAAAGTTTCTAGAGAAAAAAAATAGTTCCATACAAAGAATTAGGAAAGAAGAATGGTCTTATACCTCTCAAAAAGTAGCTTTAAGAGCTAAATGACAATGGAGAAATGCCTTAAAATTAGAACAAAAAATTGGATGCAATCTATAAATCTATACTCAAACTGCAAGCCAATGTGAGAGTAGAACAAAAATATTTTAAAACATGTTAGGTCTTCAAAACTTTTTCTTCCTGGTTTCTTAGGGACGTACTGGAAGATACATTCCCCAATATGAGAGTCTAAACTAGGAAAGAGAAAGACATGAGATTCAGGAGACCAGGGACGCAACTTAGGAGACCAATGAAGGGAATTCCCAGGATGATAATGAAGATAAATCCTAGGATAACAGCTATGCCTCAGGCCTACAGCATAAACAATCTTGACTGGCATAGGAAGAACAGGACAGATGGCTCCAGGAGGAATAACTCTAAGAAAAAACAAAATCTGAAAGATTGCCTGAAGTATCTGTTCATATTGAGAAGTGCTTTATAGCTCTGTTAGAAAAGCTGCAGAAGAACTAGCATTAGCTGTACAGATGACAACACGAAACAAAGGAAGGAATTACTGGCTACAAAAATGTAGAAAAAGATAATGAGTAATATCATATTGCATGGCCCATCTTTGAATAATATTTACCTGATTATATAATGCAAGACACTGAATACTGATTTAACTAAAAATGGTGCTGTTGTTTTAAAAGGCAAGTGGGGAGATGACATGTGTGTGTGTTTAGGGAAGAGGCAGAGGGATGGCATAGAGAACTAAATCTTCATCTTCCATTGAACAAAGTAAATAAATAATATCCAAAATTGAAAAAAAAACCAAGAAAAAAGACAGTAAATGTGATCTTTGGAAATATGGAAATAAATGCCAGAAGAAACGACAGTAAGGATTATAAGTGGCTACTTCTGGAAAACAAAAGTTAGGGCTGGAGATGGGTGGAACAAGGAGCTGCTATTTGTTATTATAAGACTGAGAATGTTATTTGGCTTTTGCTTTTCAGAGACGCAGTATGCTATGGTGCTGACAAGCCCAGACCTGGACCTAACTGCCTGGGTTTAGATTTCAGTTCTGACACTTGGGCAAGGTAGCTAATCTCTCCATATCTTGATTCCCGGCTTTCAAATGGTAATAATAATAATAATGCCTGCCATGTGGGGTTGTTGTAAGGCTTGAATCGGTTAATACAGCACTTGAAAGAGGGATACTTAGAGTTGTATAACCATTTGCTATTATTCTTATTATGAAATGACATATTACTTAAAAATTAAAATAGAAAAAATTAAGGAGTAAGCTAATTTTGCTTTGAACTCTATTCCTGAAGACTCATTCCTTGCTTCCTCTAAAGTAATAGTCAGCATTTTATCTACTCACTTCAATTTTGCCTTAAATGTACCAACTTTTGTCCCTTTCCTCAGCTACAGAAAACGTCAGTGACACAGGAACTACAGAGAAGGCTGAGGACTGCAGCTGTCACCCACACCACTGAATGGGTGCCTAAGGAACACTCTACAGGGTCATGTAAGCCTGCTGCTGTCTGGAGAACATGGCATCAGCCTAGAATGCACCAAGCCTGACTTTGAGCATGTACTTTTCAAGGCAACACATTGTAAATCAGCCTAGATCACTGTGGTCATCTTGAAAGGTCTTGCTATCCTGCCAAAATCCCAGACAAACCTGCGCATGTTTAAAAAGCGAATGGCAGACGCACACAAACACATGGTAGGAATCAATTCTTTACTAGCCTTTCAAGGACAAAAGAGGACCCTCACCTTCTGGGCCCTGTGCCTTTTGCAGACCATGATCTTATGGTATCATCACACTGTGGAAAAGCCAGAAGGTTGCTGCTGTACTTTGCTCTCCAGCACTACTCCGTTTTTATCAGTGACAGCTCATCTTCATATTAGCACCCACACAAGAAGGCACACAGTGGTGACCTGAGACCTTGCAGTGGCCACTCCCACTGCCCCACAGCAAAGCACACACATAGACCCAGGTGGAACCCAAGTGCCTTTCCTATGGAACAGAGAGAATGAGCATTTGCTCATAGCCCTGACACCTCACTCTGAGACCTTGCATAAGTATTTTCAGTTCTTCAGGCCTCAGTCAGATCCACTGGAAAATCTCACATTTGCACTGCCTTGAAGGATTACCACCCTTATTTCCCTTAGGGTGAACAAGGCTAAGGAAGTGAAGGGATTTGTACAAGATAACAACTGAATTAGAATTGGGACTGGAACCCCAGTCTACTGAGCCCCAGACACTGTTCTTTCCATGGTACTTTGTCACTGCCAGATGCCTAAATTACCATCTCCTGATAATCTCCCTTTTCCACTTAAAAATTTAGGACAGTGCCCAGCAGTCCACAAAAAGATGCTATCATTCTTTTACAATAAGTCCTTTCTAAGGCTTTGCAACTGGATTTGACCTTACCAAGAGAGTAAACTCTAAATCAGTTTAAACAGACCTTTATTTGCATATAGATAGTCAAATGGCATATATGCCAGCAAGTTCTCATGCAAAGTCAAAGACTTACCCTGCCGTAGAGGATCCCAGAGCCCTGCAGAAAGGGAGCTTCTTCTGAAGAAGAAATCAAGGTGGAGAGCCAACTGCTCCTCTCCCGCCTCTCATCCCCTGCCCACACCCACCCAAAGGCCAGTCTCTACCAAGCTGTTTGGCAACTCTGTTCAAGACAGCTTAAGGTCCAGGAGTGGATTGGGAACAGCGAATGCACTGGCAATCATTTTCCTTTCCCTTGAGCCCAGACTTCAGTGGGCGTACAATGTGGCATTTTGCTTCTGATTTCAACCACTTCAACAATTTAGCAGGAGAAAAATAAGAACCTGTGCCAGCCCAGGAGCAGCCAGCCCCCAAACCCCCTGCCTCCCTGGCATGGAGAAACCCTTGGTTACCTAGGCCAACTCCCCACCCCAAGACCTAGGGGGCAGGCCACAAATCACCTGTAGGACAACAAAGGAAGGTTTATCCTATGTTGAGCCCCAAAGCAAGCAGATGGGCCTCCATTCCTGGGGAAGGCAACCTAAGATATTTATGGATGGACAAGCCATTTTACTTTAAAGCCACTCACAGCAATTATTTGAAATTAACATTTATTTGCTCTGGTATGGGTGTGTATTAGTCCGTTCTCACATGCTATAAAGAACTACCTGAGACTGGGTAATTTATGGAGAAAAGAGGTTTCATTGACTCACAGTTCCATAGGCTGTACAGGAAGCACGGCTGGGAGGCCTCAGGAAACTTACAATCTTACAAATGGCGGAAACTTACAAATGGTGGAAAGTGAAGGGGAAGCAAGCACGTCTTTACATGTTGGAGCAGGAGAGAGAGAGAGCAAAGGGAGCAGTATCACACACTTTTAAACAACCAGATCTTATGAGAACTCACTCACTGTCATGAGGACAGCAAGGGGGAAATCCTCCTCCATGATCCAATCACCTCCTCCCAGGCCCCTCTTCCAACACTGAAGATCACAAAACAACATGAGATTTGGGTGGGGACACAGAGCCAAACCATATCACTATGTAGTTGCTAGAGATGTGAAGTCTAGAACATAAGAAAAGGAACATCGGGGCACATTTTCTTCATTTTTTTGTTTTCCCCTGCTTTTCTGGTCTTGCTTCCCTCAATCATCCTTCATGTAACTGACAAATAATATAAAACACTATCTCAATGTGTCATTCCTTACAGAGAGTTGTCCACAGCTCCTCAAATCTTCAGCATAAAGTCCCCCATGAGGTTGCCTTCGATGACAATACCAGCTTCTTTCTTGCTGCTCCCTCATCCCACCCTCTGCCTCAGTCACTAAATATCCTTCCATGAAAGATCCACTGGGTTCTTAAAATTTCTTCTATCAAGATACATTTTTCAAAAAAGTTTGTCTTTCTGACTAGATGATGAGCACTGTATTGGGGACAGCAACTTCCATCTCTGTGTCTCCACACCCAGCACCTTGTGAGTAGAACATGCTCAGTAAATGTGTGTTGATTTCATTACTCACAAGGGCAGGAAATATGCCATATTCCTTTTTTGATCCTCTAGGTAATAAGTTCTCAAAAGTAGTTTGTGAATAAGGGAATAAATCATAAAACGTTATGTCCCCAACTGAAAGAATTTGTGCTTTGTCCTCAGACATATGCACATCCAAAGACAATAATGCCAATATGGGCCTTGTCTTTAAAGAATTCATTGTGCCCTGCAGTTCCCAGGCAGCTGCCTGCCACCTGCTACTTGTGTTCCATCCCTTCAGGCCTGAGGCACTGCTGCCTCCTCTTCCATTTTTGACTTCAGGCTGTTACACACTGCCCTGCAAGCTTCCTCCACTCCTAGTGGCACTGAAGCAGGAATGAGCTCCCGTTTGGAGATGCTGGCTTTACAGACAGGAGCCACTGGGAAAGCTCGCTTATGTTTTCAGCTGGGTAGCTATAGCTCTAACCCATGGATGACACAGGCCTCTGGAAGGCCTCCACATTTCTCACACACTTCTATGAGAACAAGCCCTCATTATTGTCTCATCAAAGTAGCCCCAGCAGTGGTGGGGCAGAGGGTGGGGAAGTGGGAACATATAAAATAAGGTATGAAGGTGGAGGTTAAAAAGGATAGCCACTTTACTTTCATATTTTAATTCTGCCTCCCCCAGCCCAGAACATTCACTTTGCAATAGATGCAATGGGCTGACGTGTGTGTATGAAACTTAGTGAGGCTCACTGGCATTTCCCTAAAATTATCAATAATTGTCTCCCAGGAAGCAGTGGACTTTAGCCAGGATGTGACATGGCCTCCAAAGTTTGCTATCAGTCATTTCCATGGAAGCCTGCATTTATCAAAGGGCCACCGGCACACCCAATAGACACATCCTGGCAGGTTTGTAAATTGCTATGACATATAAAGGCAGGTCTGGCTTGAATTCCCAGGCTCTAGCTCCTCTGTGGAGCTCTGGTCACACTCACAACACAAACCATCTGGAGCCTCACTCTGGCACTGTGTTATTTACTCACAGTCCAGGTGGAATTAGAGCCATAATTCACCACCGTCTGCCCCTCTTCTCTGTGGACAGCACCATACCTCATCTCAGCACTTGCTCCCTTGCCATCCATCAGCCATTCCAATTTGGGAATCACTTGCCAAAGTGGATGTTTTTCTTTGGAGTTTATTGTTATAAATTAACGTTTTAAATTTTGGGACCAGTCCATCATTTTGGGAGACGTTTTGCCTTTTTTCCCTTATTCTCACCTGTCTCAGACTCAGCAAGTGTGAGACACTCACTTATGCTGCTCCAGTTTTCCCTTCCTCACTTCATAAAGAATTCTGTAACCAACAGACCATATGCCCCAACCCCTTTTGCTTCTCTGGGATGTCATCACCAAACAAACAAACAAATAAACCAAAAATGAAAAACTCTTACCAGCTCAAGTTCCTCAATGAAGAAAGCCACTGCTGGTCAGTTAACCTTGAGCACATTACCAAATCTCTCTGTGCCTCAGGTCCCTCAGGATGAGGCAGAATAAAGCTAAGTCTTGACAATTGTACTGGGCAGTACTAGGCCACAGTGAAGGAAGGACTGGCCTTCTGTTTGTGCAAAAGTCAGCATAGAGAGAAAGGGAGCAGGCCGTATCTGAGAACTGGAAGATCATAAGGAGTTTGCTGTGGCTGAAATCTAGAGCACAGGTGGCGGAGTGGAAAAAGATGAAACAGAAGAGGTGTGGGGGAGTCAGATGATGAAATCCCTTGAATACTTTCTAAAGAAGTTTGGATATGTTCTTCAAAGTGATATTCCTATCAGTCATTTAAGGTTATAAGAAAAAGAATCATCGGTTTAGAATTTAGTTTTAGAGATATCATTGTCAGAAATGTGGAGATTGGATTGAAGAAGAGATACAGAAGTAAAGGGCAAAGGCTCCAAAAACAAAAGTAAAGACTCCATTTACGGACTACGGCAGCTGGGCAGGTGAAGGTGAATGGTTGCCTGAACAAAGGTAGTAACGAGACCCAGAAGAGAGGACAGATTTAAGAGGTTTTTAGTGTGGTCATGGGGAGTGAGGAAAATGAATGGCTCGAATAAACTTTCCAGTTTACTTGAAACTTGGACAACTGGATGAACAGCAATGCCACTCACCAACGCAGGGAATATAGGAAGTTTTTCAGGGAAGGGGGATGAGGAAAAGAAATTTGGTTTGAGGCTATTTTGAGTAAGTGCCTGTGGAGCACTCAAGAGAGGTTTTAAGTAGTGTCTTAGTATGCTTTGTGCTGCTATAACAGAATACCACAGACTGGGTACTGTATAATAAACAGACATTTATTGGCTCTCAATTCTGAAAGCCAGGAAGTTCAATATCAAGGTGCCGGTGAGGGACTTGCTGTGACATCACATGACGGAAAGGCAAAGATAAGGCGATGGAGATGCTAAAGAGCTATTTTATCGGAAACCCACTCCTGTGATAACAGCATTGATCCATTAAAGGGAGATGAACCCTCATGGCCTACTCACCTCGTAAGGGTCCCATTCCTGAATATTGTTACAATGGCAATTAAATTTTAACATGAGTTTGGGAGGAGACAGGCATTCAAATCATAGCAAGTAGGCAAGAGAATTTTCAGGGAAAAGTCTGAACTGGAAAAATGGAGTTCAGAGTCATTGGTGTGTACAATGTGCAGAACTTGAAGACACAGTAAGATGAGATCATCCAGAGGGCATGTGTGGGATGAGAGGAAAGGTCTGCAGTTGAGACCCTGGGCAATCACTAACTAAAGGTGGACAGAGTTTAAAGAACAAAATGGCCACTGTGTCAACAGCATCACAGACAGGAGTCTGGTAGGGCAGAAACAGGAATGAAGTGGGCTGGGGAATGAACTGGTAGAGAAAGCAAATGAGGACAGTGAATGTGTCTCTCAGGAGGCTCAACTATGAAAGCAGAGACACATGGCCAAGGGAGATTGTTGGTTGGCTTGTGGGCTATTGTTGTATTTTTTAATAGCCTTTTATTTAGGAATAATTTTAGATTTACAGAGAAGTTGCCTAGACAGTGGTTATTCACATTGTTAACATCTCTCATTACCACAATACATTATCAAAACTAAGAAACCAACATGGTACAGTATTAACAGGATTCCATGATTTATTTCACTTTCACCAGCTTTTTATCAAAGGTGTTTTTTTCAGTTCTAAGATCCAAACCAGAGTACCACATTGCATTTAGTTGTCGTATTTCCGCAATATCCTCTGGTCCATATTTGATTTTTATAACCTCAATAGGCTGGAGGAGCACTGACCAGGCAGCCTCCGGAATGTCTTCTACTCTGAGTTTTACTCATGTTGAGACTGGTGTTATGGGTTTTGGGGAAAGAATGCTATAGAAATGTCCTTCTCATCACATCATATCAGTAAAGATGATACCCACATGACAACATTGACAATGTTAACTTCAATCCCTTGGCTAAGTTCTCCACTGTAAAGTCACTCCTTTTTCCTTACCCTACTCTCTGCTCTTTGAAAGTGACTCACTAAGTCTAGCCCACACCCAGGTATGAGAGTGGGGGTGAGGGTGGGAATTAGGCTTCACCTTTTGTTTTGTTTTTAAGGTGACAATCATATTCTCAATTCAGCCTGTAGTCTTCATTGTCTCCTTTATCTTAAAATTGCAACATTTGGAATCTCCAACACAGTAGAATACTTGATCATACGAGATTTGATTTTGTTTATGTTATTTCACAAGTATTATTCAGGGCTCTAGGCAAAACAGCTCAATAAACAGCCTAGTGCTCACACTATACTCCTTCCTTTTTTCAACTGTTTTTGTTGTCATGTCCTATCATTTTACCAACTACATATCTCTTAAATTCAGTCATAGGTGATCACCGATAAAAGCTCTGCCAGATCAACTGACTCCTAAATTCCTTATCTTGTCTTCCTGGTAGAACCCCAACCTTGTCCTTGACTCCTAATATATACAAAAGAACAGCAATGGAAATATGACTCCCTGAACGTGTTCTCTGATATGGTCTGGTTGTGTCCTCACCCAAATCTCATCTTGAATTGTAGCTCCTATAATTCCCATGTGTTGTGGGAGGGACCTGGTGGGAGATAATTGAGTCATAGGGCAGTATCCCGCATACTGTTCTCATGGTAGTGAGTAAGTCTCACAAGATCTGATGATTTTATAAGGGGTTTCCCTTTTCACTTGGCTCTCATTCTCTTTTGTCTGCCACCATGTAAGATGTGCCTTTTGCCATCTGCCATGAGTGTGAGGCCTCCAGCCACATGGAGCTGTGAGTCCATTAAACCTCTTTTTCTTTAAAAATTACCCAGTCTCAGGTATGTCTTTATCAGCAGTGTAAGAATGGACTAATTCATTCTCTGTACCAATGGCCAGACTATAGTGTGTTAAACAGGATACGGAGTGAAGGCACAATGCAGCATGTGAACCTAAACTTTCCTTCCTCAATTGCTCTTCAATCCTTGGGCCCAGAAGCCTCTGTTTTGGCTTCAAAGTTTAGAGCTATTACTGAAGAAACAGCTCATAAAATGTCCCATTCCTGACATTTTTCACAGAAAATCCCCAGAAATATGTGTTTGAACAAGAATCCTCTCTTTTCCCCATGACTATGCTTGCAGGGCGGCTGGGAGGTCAGGAAAAGACAAGCAGGAGAACTGGTTCCAGAATCTGTTCTGCCACTAACCTACTTTGGGAACCAGGTTAAACATTCCAACTTCCATACCTCAAGTACGGCATTGGTAAAATGAAGGGTTTGAGCTGGCTGATCTTAGCTCATTCAATTCAGTCCACCAGCTGCCTTATTAAGTGGCTACCTCTTGATTCCATTTCTGAGGTTTCTCTGTTACAGTCATAGAACATTGTGATTGGCTTTGGGAATGTTGTGGGGGAAGCCATATCCCAGGAGAGTCACCTGGAAAAGAAATTAGGGCTGCACAGGTTACATTCCAACTTGGTGAATTGCATGAGATTAATGTGAGGAATCCCAGAGGAAAGAAGGGGCTCCTAACCTCTTGAGAGACACTGCATGCTTCTTCCCAGAGGGCAAGAGACTTGGCAGCCCTCAGTTGCCTTTAGCCTTATCCTATCAAGTGGGGTTAGCTTGTGTTGAGCTCACATGACAGACGGCTCTTTGGGCCTCCAGAGTGCACCCCAACCATCATCAGATTGTCAAACTGCAAACAAAAGCCATTCATTGCCCTCACCTCCTCTCTTGAATTCTTCCTAGCTTTGTAACCTATAAAGCAGAAGATAAGCCATAACCATCAGAGGGTCTGCAATCTCCTGCCTATATATGTGAACATTATTTTTCTGAACCTCAAAGATCAATGCATATGATTAAAGAATATTTTGCTATTCCTGACTGCATAGACAGTACAGTAAATGTAGTTTCATTACTATTATTATTATTTCTACATTACTTCAGGGGTTTCTGATCTCTTCTAAGAGTTATCAAATAGAGTCAAAATGAGATTGTCTTAGAAAGTTTGGATGAAGGGCTGCCTTGCACATATTTACTCTTCTCCTCTTTCCTCTTACTGTTACAGGATCACTCCTGCAAAGAGCTAAAACACCTATAAGGTGAAAGAAGAAAAGAGAAATGAGAACATCTGGCCAAACTTGCTTTCAGGTCGAGGAGATAGCCAGCACAGTAGGATGAGAGGGACCTGGGATCGGACTTCCACCTCAAGTTTTACATCTGCTGATATCTAAAATCCAACCATTAGAAATTCATTACTTCAACAGAATTTTTTATTCATAATTAAACAAAAGCCCTCAGAATGTCTAGACCCAAGGTTATTTTCAATCATTGACACCTTCAGGCGAAGGCTTTGATATCAGGTGAGCGATTACTGGAGGGTAGTAAAGCATCATGTGTCCGAGACAACAGAGGGGGCATAGGACCCAGATGCTCCCTAGTGGGGTGTCAGAGCATGAGATCTTCTGGCTCCCTCTAATCCCAAAGAGAAAGAAAAAGACACATAGAAGGACATGGCCAGTGTCATGGTGGCAGTGATGTGTTTATCCACTGCAATGGGAGCACCTGGGCACCTCTACCGTTAGTCAAAAAAACGTGAACTGGGAATGCAGGGGCCTGAACTTTAAACTTAGAATTTCAACTATAGACACAGAAGGAACGTAGCATAATCTCTAACATCTTTCCCAGCTTAAATGGTCTATGTTGACTTCAGATTAGCAGATATTTCTCCAAATTGACAGGAAAACTAAGAAAGACAAGATAGCAGGAAAGATTGGGATGTGAGGAAGATGAAGAGGAAAAGAGAATTGGAGATGTAAAAGTAGATGTAGTCTTGTTGAGACTGCCCATATGTGATACATACGCCTTCTCTAGTGGTTCCAGGAAATATTTCTCTCTTTCTCCTCTGTGCTTTACATTCCAATATAGTAAACCACATTCTACTCTGCCTTAAACTCTCTTAATCGCTTTAATTCCACTTGTGCCACAATTTAAAAATAATTGAAAATCCGTTATTTTATTTGATTTCCCACCCCTCTAAAATGAGAGGAAGAAGAAGAAAAAAAAAGGAAACCTATGAATTTGGCGGGAATTCCTATCCCCTTTCCAGGGAAAGATCCTGGGCTCAGTGATTTGCAAAAGCTCTCACATATAGCACATCACGGGGTTAGTGGACTCCAGTCACCAGTCTTCATGCTTGACAGGTGCTCCTTTCTTAACACCCAGTTCTGTGGCACTATCGGGTTTCTTGAAGGTGTTTTCAAGCAAAGCCTGCTTAACGTGAATTTTATCTCCCTCATTGACTGTTCAAACTTCTACTCCAAAAGAGCATATAAAAGTAAAGCTTAGAGTTAGCTTAGCTGCTTAAATCATTGGTAGGACAGCAGTTTTCAAACTATGCTTCTCACAGCCTTAGAGTTCCACCAAGCATCTCCAGGGCTTCTGGAGGTTTTTGAGCTGAGCAGCTGGGTGCTCTAGGCTTTCCCCCTGATTCTGAGAAACTCTACCTTTATCTGCCTTTTTTACTGGTCTCCCTATAGGTATTAAGAAGTGTTTGAGAACCACTACAGGGCAGGTTCTAGTCTGTAGTGTTATTTCCTGCCTGAACCCAAGTTCCAGTTTCTTTACATGACGTGCCAATAAATCTCTGCTTCATGGCCCCCCAATAGAAGAGGTAAGACAGAAGCAGCCCATTGGTCTTCAAGACATATTGTCATCTGTCACATCAGGATGCCCCTAGGGAGTCTTAAATCCAGAGAAACATGGGAGTAGTCATTTCACATCTTAAGACCCCTTGATGAGAAAAACCTCATTACCATGTGTACACAGTAGCTGATATTTTACACAGACTAACTGGCCTGTTTTCATGCGTTTTAAATACCCAAAGGTATCCCACCTACATGAGGAGCTGAAGGCCTACAAACTGTGATCATAAAAAAAGTCTGCACACTACACAAGTGCTAAAGAGCACCTGAAACCACTTTGTGTCTATTTGTTTTGCCCCCTAATATGCACACTGGTATATTAGTGTTTCTTTTGAATTACCCTGGGTTTGGATATTATACACCCAAGTTTTAGTTCAAATTGAGTTTTCACAGCTGGATTATAAACCAGTGGAAATGTTGACCCAGCACCAACTATATCATTCCAAACAGGTGTTGCTTTAATTAGCTTTATCGTAAAGCAAAAATTAAAAATTAAAGGAAAACATTTCAATGTGCCTAAGAGTTTCTTATGGTCTTACAGGGAACAGGCAAATTGTTGAGGACTTTCAAGCCTTATCTCCTTTTCTCAGAGGTTCTCTGAAAAATTCAGCAACACTTCTGAAACTATAATAACACCCCAATGCTTTAAGACGAGAAAACATCTGGCTACCCTGGCATTTTTGCCAGTGAAGGAGAAAGTTTTTAAATGAAGGGAGAGTGGATTCAAAGTCCATTCCCCTAAGTCTTAGATGTCTTACCTCAGGCAGTGAGAAGACAGAAAGGTAAGGCTTGGGATGTTACTACTAATCTGAAAGGAGATTATCACTATATTCCATGCAAAGACAAAGAAGTTCTGTGTAATTTCAATTCAATGCAAAAAGCATGGCTACTGTGTACTTACTAGAAAGGTGGAAGAGAGGTTGCAGAACTCCTACCCCCAAGATGTATTCAAGTTCATTGTCTCACACACAAGAAGCCATTTATAGAACAAATTAAACTTGCGTATGAATTAGCTCAGGTGTGTCAACCTTTCAGCCAGAAAGCATACACTTCCTCTGGATGTTTAGGATGACTTTCTGGAAGAGGAAGCAGAGTGAGAGGCTAGGTTAGGAGATTGACTGTGTAGAAAGGAGACAGTGGAACAGCTCGGGCTGGGGAGACTGCATGAGTACAGACAGGGAGCAGTGGTTCTCCATCTTCAGCCCCCCGGAGGGCTGCTTACAACAGGTCCCAGGGCCCCCAGAGACTGATTCAGTGGATTTGACATGGGGTCCAACAATGTGTATTTTAACAGGTTCTCCGTTGTTGCAGACACTGCTGTTCTGAGGACAACATTTGAGAAACACTGGCATAGAGAAAGGATTGTGCAAGGATGTCAGGATTTGAGTGCAGGTGCTTGGCTTAGCTGTAAGAGAATTTGCATAGAAGAGTGGAGAAAATGGTTTCTTAAACAAATAAAAACTAACTTGTTTGTTGATGATGTGAAATAATCACTTTTTAATCTAAAAATAAAAATAAAAGTTAGTAATTCTCAATGTAACCTTCTTTCCAGACACCCAATGTGTCTGGTTCACTTTTCTCAAAGGAAAGAGGGAAAAAAATTATCTACTGAGCGTTACGCATGCTGCTGTACCCATTTTATCTCATTTAGTCCCCATGAAAAGGTAGCTGCAATAAAAATAATCACAATAGTAATAATGACAATGGCTACTATTTACTTTGCATCAACTAAGCGTTTCGCTTGCCTTCTAAATGTACCCTTGCAGGCACAGGTTGCATCTTCAATGAGATGAAGAGAGGTTTTGTTACTCTTAAACACTGTATCTTCTCACAGAGACAAAATCTTCTTTCTTCCTCTCTCCCAGAAAACTGCCAACTTCTCTAACCCTTTCTATTACCCAGATTATGGTTTCAGCTCTTTTGAGATACAAGGAACATAGAAATGCTAAAGTACCTTAAGTGACAGAGACATCATGACACTATAAAGAGAAGAAATAAAATAGGGCAGACCACACAGCTGGGTCTCTTGGAAACAGAACAGCATTCATAGTTGGAGAGCTGTCTGATGATACTCTCAACCTGTCTCCTCAGAAGTGCCATCCATTGTTCTCTACCGTGAAGGCCCACAATTCTTCTGAAGCAGCTTCTTTCTCTGATGCCTCTCTTCTCTGCTCTCCTGGTGTGTGTGTGTGTGTGTGTGTGTGTGTGTGTGTGTGTGTGTGTGTGCCAACCGCACCCCCACAAGAGAAAGAATCTGATTGGTTACCAGTCACCATTCAACATGGGGCACCTCTATCAGGCAGTTGTTGTACCACAATTCCTAACGAGCTGTTGGTCCAGCCTGTAGAGCAGCAGCACTGTCCAACAGAAATATAATGCCAGTGACAATTACAAGCAACATATGTAATTTTTAATTTTCTAGTAACTACTTTAAGAAAGTAAACTGAAAAAGGTGGAACTAACTGTAATAACATTTCATCTAACCCAGCATATCTAAATTTATATTTTAACATGTGTTGAGTAAAAAAAAATTAGTAATATGTTTTACTTCTTTTTTATATACTAAGTCTTTGAAATCCTGTGTGTATTTTATACTTGGACCATAACTTAATTCAGATTAGCCACATTTCCAGTGCTCAGTAGCCACATTTTCAGTGTTCAATAGCCACATGTGGCTAGTGCCTACTACACAGAACAGTATATTAAGTTGTTTTTGGCCAGAGGACTAACCTTCAGTTGCAACCATTATTGGTCAGAATAACAGGATCAAATGATATAATATGCTGAGAGAACTACCCCCATTTGCTTCATGAAGGTATTAAGGGCAAGAAGGGCATTCGGGGTCCCACAATCCATTCTCCTGCTTGTCCAAAGATGGTGTCAGTAGGTCTCTCCATCAATTAACATAAATAGGCTTCTACCTAAGCTGTACTGGTACTTTTATTCTGGTCTTCCCTACTAATAGACTAGAGACTACCTTTGTCTTTCTCCTATTTCCCAGTGATCTGGTAATTACTTTTACTTGAACAGCATTGAGTCTAGTTTTTATGTCACTGCCAAAGTTACCTTCAGCCATTTTTAATTACCCACATTCTCATACACATACATGCACCCAGGCTCATATACATTTATTTCTATAAAGCTTGTGATATATTTGCCATATTTTGTAAGCCTTCTGACCATAAAAGATTATTCAATAAATTGTATCTCCTCCTATATACACTTACTTAGTACATACCTCTATGGCAGCATTTATCACTATTATGGTAGAGATGTGTTTATTTTTTCCCCTTTCAGATAATGCACTCAATAAAGTCACTCTTAAATTCCAAGGGCTTAGCAAAGTATCTTGCACATAAATACCAATAAATATGTGACGGTTGAATAAATAAATGAATTATTATTTGTCCTGAAAATTCTCAATTGCACCTGATTATAAATGGATAAAGATTTTAGAATGAAGAAAAATTTAAAAGTACATATAAAATCTTGCATAATCATCTATATAATCTTTTTACCCTGATTATTTGCTTTAGAGAAGAAACTACAAGTTTTGCTTCAAAACAGAATAGGCTCAAAAGGGAAACAAGGTGTGCAATATGGTGTAACAAGAGCACCATTCAATAAAGAATAAGGTGTTATCCTCTCAGGCATTACAACTACTTTGCTCTATGAATGTAAATAAGTCCCTATGCTGTGTTATATTTAATGTTAAAATTAAAGCACTCTGGTTAGTTGATTATAAATGTCCTGTCTATCTATGTCTAACTTTCTATGATTGTAGAAATTCAAAAGTTGCAGATGAATAACATTTAAAAAAATCTGAGTCAAGGTTTTTATTATTTGCAATGGGAAAGATCTTAACTGATAATGGAATATTTGGTGCTTTGCTCTGCAATATCTTGTTTATGTCTACATCTCAAATTAGACCAAGTTTTTCATAGCAAAGACATTATGGTGGTATAATTAACAGCTGAAACAGAGAATGGCACAGGTTGGATTTGAATAAATGTTTGACTGACTATGAATACATGCGTGAGTAGCCATTACCTGTATCAAATACCCAGGATTGCCTTTGCTAAACAGTTAAAAGCAGGTGGAATGATGGCCTCTGTTTGGGATATCTTTGTTTCAGACTTAAAGTCTGAAGATAACAAATAAAAAGTTCTAACACTCCCACTTTGTGTCATATAGGCAGGAAATTCTTCCAATATATTTATAATTTATTGAGAAAGATATATTGATCTCTTCCATCATGATTGTGAATTTACATATATGTCCTTGTTCTCACTCATAAGTGGGAGTTGAACAATGAGAACACATGGACACAGGGAGGGGAACATCACACACTGAGGCCGGTCAGGAGGTGGGGGGAAAGGGGACGGAAAGCATTAGGACAAATACCTAATGCATGCAGGTCTTAAAATCTAGATGATGGGTTGATAGGTGCAAAAAACCACCATGGCACATGTATACCTATGTAACAAACCTGCACGTTCAGCACATGTTCTTTAAATTCCATCAAATTTTGCTGTTTTTGAAGGTATGTTATTAAGTGTAAGCAAATTTCAAATTGTTACACTATAATAGTGGATTAATCATTTTATCAGTAAGAAATGGATTTATCTGTATAATGCTTCTTGCCTTAGAGAAGATTGGTAATAGTGTAGCCATATCATCTTTCTTTTGATTAAGGTTTGCATCAGTGGTGTAAATGTTAAAACAAAGTTTTAACAGTCAAAATTTCTGAATGTTTCACAACCTTTCAAGCCCTTAATAGCTGGCTCCAGTATACTACTGGTTTGCCTAATATAGCTTTTCCATACTTTTACTTTCAATAGTTTTGCCTCCTTATATTTAAAGTGCATCTCCTCTGAGCAGTATATGGTTGGACTTTTTACAAAATCTAGCTTAATCTTTTTTGTTTGTTTGTTTTCTCAAGGAAAACTCTCACTCTATCACCTAGGCTGGAGTGCAGCAGCATAATCATAGCTCACTGTAGCCTTGACCTCCAGGGCTCAAGTGATCCTTCCACCTCAACCTCTCAAGTAGTTGGAACTACACATGTATACCATTATGCCCACCTAATTTGTTATTTTATTTTTTTGTAGAGATGGGGTCTTGCTGTGCTGCCCAGGCTGGCCTTGAACTCCTTGGCTCAACCGATCCTCTTGCCTCAGCCGCCCAAAGTGCTGGGATTACAGGTGTGAGCCTCTGGCCTACTTTAGTCTTTTAATTAGGATATATAGGCCATTTACATTTAATGGAACTACTAAAATATTTAGGTTTATATTAATATCTGTTTTTTCATCTTTCACATTAATTTTGATCCCCTTTTCTCCTTTTTTGGCCTTTCTTTGGCTTAATCAAGTATTCCCTATGACCTATTACCACTTCTATTAGCTCATTAAGTAAACATTCATTTAGTTTTGTTTCAGTGGTTATCTTGAAGACTACAGTGTCCTTTTTTTTATTTGTTAGAAACTAATACAAATTTGTGCTTCTACCACTTCACTGATGTTGAAAGAGCCTTGGAAATCTTGAACTTTTGAATGTTGAGATTTAAAAGGCCCTGTATCTGGGGTCCTCCAAGACTATCCCAAGTTTTTATTACTCACTAGGAGGATTCACAGAACTCAGAATATAGTTATGCTAATAGCTATGATTGATTACAGCAAAATGATACAAAACAAAATCAGCAAAGGGAAAATGTACATATAGCAGAGTTCGGAGGGAACTAGACACAACCTTCCAAGAGTCCTTTCCCAGTGGAATTATATAAGAAGTGCTTAATTCCTGTAGCAACAAGTTGTAACAACACTTGTCAAATGCTTGTCTACCAGGAAAGCTCATTAGAGACTTACCACCCAGGGTATTTATTAAATATTGGTCATATAGACAACTTCCGTCTAGCATGTACCAAAATTTCAGACTTCCAGAAGGAAACTAGGTGTTCAGCATAAACCATATGGTTCACACAAACTCTTTACACACAGTGAGCCACTACTATTGGCTCAGGAAATGGTGGGAACCCTACTAAAATCCAAGTTTCCAAATGCAGAGGCAACCTTGCAAGCAGGCCTTTCTAATGATAGCAGTCTAAGGACTGTTATATTAGTTCTTCTATTGCACAACCCTCTGTATCCTTCCTGTTATTGTTACCATATATTTTATTTCTACATACATTGTAAATCTCATTAAATATTATTGTTATTTTTTTTCTGGTGTCAATATTAATTTAGATTTACCCATATATTTAACCATTCTATTGTTCTTCATTTCTTCTTGCATTTTCTGTGTTTCTGACTGAAAGATTCCCTTAAGTATTTCCTGCAGGGAAACGAGTCAGGAATGAGTTCTCTCAGCTTTTGTCAGGAATACCTTTATTTGTTATTTGTTTTTGAGTATTTTTTTTACTGGCTATAGAATTCTGACAGCTTTTATTTTGTTTCAGCACTTTAGAGCTATCATTCCATTGTCACATAGTTCCCTTCATTTCTGTTGAGAAGTGAACTGTTAAAGTTGCTGTTTCAAAAGTAACATATCATTTTTCCCTTTGGCTATATTTATTATTTTCTCTTTATTTTTTGTTTTGACAGTTTTACTCCGATATGCCTAGGTTTTGGATTTGCAGTGCTTCTTGAATCAATTCTCAGCCATTTTTCTTCAAGTATTGCCTCTGCCTCATTCTCTCTTTAATTATGCTAGGTTTAGACTAATGACTCTCAATTTGGAAAATTTTGTCCCTAGGACAAAATATCCATACAACAAATAATTATTTGGCTCAAAATACCAATAGTGCAGAGGTTCAGAAACTCTGTGTTAAGATTTTTCACCATATTTTATGTGTCTCTGACATTATTTTCTGTAATTCTTATGCTTTTTTTGTCTTCAGGCTTCACTGTTAATATTTCCTATTAACCTATCTGCTAGCTTACTGAGCTCCTCTTTAGCTCTGTCTAATCTGCTGTTCACCTATTTCTTAATATCAGATATTAAAACTTTATTCCTAAAATTTTCCATTTGATTATTTTAAAAAGAATCCAATTCTATAATGAAATTCTTCATATTGCCATCTATTTTATTAAACATATTAATTAAAATTATTTTTAAACTCATATCTAATAATTTGAATATCTGGGTCACATATCTCTTTCTCTTGTTTATTAATTTATTGATCTTATTACTTAGCATGCCTAATCATTTTTTGTTGAATGTCAGATATTGTGTGTGAAAATTTTTAATGCTTTGAATAATGCAGTATTCTTTCAGAGGGGATTCAGTCTCCCTTCTGAAGGCAGGAGGAGACAGATTGTTTCAATCTAATCATAGATGGAACTGACTTGAGACTGATTTGCATCATTGGAAAACTTGGTCTACCTCTGCTTGTAGAATATAACCTTCCAGTGGTCCCAGCTTAGAGCCTGAAGTGTCTGCAATGACTCCTCCTCTTTTTCAAGTTTTAAACCCAATTTTTAAAAAATTTCTTGGTACCATGTGACTGCCAGAGACTGCTCTGCTTTTCGGTTGTTACTGTTTAGCTTTGCAGCCTCTTGCCCTATATAGCTTAATTATCAAATGCCCAGAGAATAAAAATGGTGCCAAATATCAGGCTCCCTTTTCTGCACCTTTCTTCTCTCCAGGATTTTAGCCCTCACATTTTAGCTGTCTTGGAAATCCAGAATTCCAACCTTTTGTTCCCTACACCTTATCATTGCCTAAAGCTGTACCACTTCTCTGACCATTAGAAGTGCTCCTCTGATGGGCTAATGGGAAGGTTGCAGATACTAGGATGAAATCACTCTTGGCAGGCCCAAACAAACTGAAGCTGGGAAAGCATGAAGACAGAGAGCTAATGCTTGTATGTCTGAAACAAGATCGTCCCAAGGACTTTTTAAAATAATCTCATGAGAAATTCTTTCATGTCCTTTAAGCATCTCATGCTTTTTATTACCTACATTTTGCATGCATGCACATATTTCTATGACCAGATTTAACACTAGACATTCTTTAGGACTGCAGCAATTCAGATAAAATGTTCTCAGAAGAACACTTGCCTAGTAATGGCATCTCCACCAATGAACTGATGCCAATTCCAGCTTTGAGCCTACAGAACCAATAAAAGTCTTTCTAAGTAGCTTATGTAAACCTCTCCCTTTTTGCCAAATAAAAGCTTCCTCTTACCTTCCCCTCTTCAGGTGCACCTGAGACTTGCTATAGCTGTGCATCCCAGGTTATAATCCTCTTTGCTTACTCTTGAATAAAATCATTAAATTAAGAGGTAAGTTTTTGGTTTTTTTGTTTGTTTGTTTTTGAAACTGAGTCTTTCTCTGTCGGTGGTGTGATCTTGGCTCACTGCAACCTCTGCCTCCTGGGTTCAAGGGATTCTCCTGCCTCAGCCTACCGAGTAGTTGGGATTACAGGTGCATGCCACCACACCCTGCTAATTTTTTGTATTTTTAGCAGAGACAGGGTTTCACCATGTTGGCCAGGCTGGTCCCCTGACCTCAAGTGATCCACCCACCTTGGCCTCCCAAAGTGCTGGGATTACAGGCCGGAGCCACCATGCCCAGCCCTAAGAGATAGTTTTCTCTGATGTTTTTTTTTTTTTGAGGTTGACACTTATCCCATACTAAAAATTGCCAAATGTCCTGACTAGAAAAGCAGGATATTCACCTCACTGAGCTTCCTTTCTTCCTGTGTGTGGCCCTTTGAGTCCTTGTGTTAGTAGTGCCATCATGCCTTTAGACACTTCTAAAAATCAACCTTCTCTTTTGGTTGTTCCTGGCAAGAGTTTTAAGTCTGCCACAAACTACTACATCATAGCCAGAAGTATAAGTCTATATTTAGAAATTAGGTTAGACATAAGGAAAATACTTATGTATTATTCTGTGACTATTATTGGATACTACACTGAGTCATCAGAGGTAAAAGTAGACTCCTGCCTCATTTAAAAGCTGGAGGAAACTCCCAGGGACCTGCAATAAGTAAAGAGGCATATATCATAGGGAGGGGTGCAGAAAAAGGGGCAGCAACACAAAATAATTTTTCATGATTTCTTGTGACTCTATGGATCTCTCAATTCTGCTAATACTTGAACATTCAGAACGTGGACACAACCATGTGTTTTATTCCTGCAGTTCTCATTTTGGTTTGCACATAATGCAGAGATAGACAATTGCGACCTAAAGTAGAAGAATGAAAATATAAGAGCTCTATGTTTGCATAATGTCTCCAGTTTGATTATAGTCACGAAATACAGTATATTTGTACTTTTTACTTTAAATCCCATGAGTGGTCTAAATTTTTTTTAAAAAAATATGTTTTCAGAATAAGGAGATTTAAAAAGGATTTCATATAGTCTAGGAATTTCAACTAAGGTTTTCCAGCAACATCACACTCATACCACCTCAGGCATTTGCCAATCTGTTATAAAAGAAAAACCCTATGTGTAGTCACATACAGTCATTGAAAGAGCCTTAGGCATACTTCCTGTGTAAATTGAGTGTGCATATTAAGTGGGAAGTGAATGGTACATGTGCGAAATCTTGGTTATTCAGTTTAAGGCCCAGAGAGATTATTAACATAGCTTTGCAGGCTCTGTGCAGCATAGTCAGAGATGACCATTTCCCTGAGATGGATTCAGGTAGAGGGAGCCCTGCCAGGAGGAGGCCTGAACACTGCAGGGGCAGCAGCCTGCTTCCTTTCTGCAACAGCTTGCTGCCTGGCATTGTTGGGGTTGGGAGTGCAGGGGTGCAGGGGAGACAACAGGCACTTCTGTAAAAGTGGTTCCAGTGTGTGGTAGGAGACTTTTTTCTCCATCTCCTCCTCTCTGGTCCATCTCTTTCAGATGAGCCCTGAGCCTGTGGGCTTAGAATTTATGAAGCTAATTTGCAAGGGAGCTTGATGTGGTACTAACAACCCTGAACTGTGGGTTCTGATGCCCTTAGCTAATTATCTGACCTTGGGTTAGTCCTCCCCTTTCTTTGCCTGATTGTTCTCTATCCTAAACGAAGAGGTATGAGTGAATGATCCTAACAATCGCATGCAGCTGAAACAGCTTTGGGTTCAGGACTCCCTTTGGACAGTTAAAGACTCAGGGCAGCAGGAAAGGCATCTGATTACTTCAGTGGAGTCTTCCCTGTGATGAACTTCTCAATAGGACGGAGCTTTTAGCTTTTCTTCAGCCTTCTGCCATTCAGCATTTTGCCCTGGAGGTAAAAATATAGTTCTATGTCTTGTGCATTTCTTTTTTTTTTCTCATTTCACCACATAATCCTGAGCATAACTGAAAACATAACTCATTATCTACTCAACATCAAAATGTAGGTTACAATTCTTACAATGGTCAGTTTAAAAATTATCTTTCTGTAACACATGCAAAGCTGAGCTCCCTAGTGTTCCAGTTCAATGTACAATCAATTCAGAAGAGATTGCAAACAATTCTGATTATTTATTGAAGTCTAAGAAAATGGCAAAGAGGTATAACAAAATGCAACATATAGGAAACAATTCTTCAAAATTTGCTTTAAATCATTATCTTTCCAACGTTCTGCCCATCACAGCATGGTGAAAACAGAGAAAACCTGTTTTCTCACTGCTTCCGTACTACAAAAAGTGCTCCTAAAATTCAACTCTCAGTGGCTCTCACCTTCCTCTAGCTTTCTGCCATCTTTTCACATTTCTAGGTCTCTGCTTTCCCCCACCGCTTTGCCCTTCCATAATGTAAGTCAATTCAGCTTGTCTTAGTTTCATTTCAGTCCTCTTTTTGCCAGTTAACCACACTGACACCACAAACCCCAGGGCCTGGAAGACACAGTAGAACACTCCTTTAGAAGTCTATGCTTGTTTGCTGGCGGTGGGATGGGGGTCAGAAATGGGAACAAGGGTCCAGATATATTATTCTTAAAGCCCTTTAAAAGTATCTGTCATAGGGTGGGCAATGTGGCACATACCTGTAATCCCAGCAATTTGGGAGGCCAAGGTGGGCAGGTCACTCGCACCCAGGAGTTTAAGAGCAACCTGGGCTACATGGTAAAACCCTGTCTCTACAAAAAATACAAACACTAGCTGAGCATTGGTGCTGCATGCCTGTAGTTCCAGCCACTTTGGAGGCCAAGGTGGGAGGATCGCTTGAGCCCAAGAGGTCAAGGCTGCAGTGAGCCATGATCATGCCACTGTACTTCAGCCTGGGCAACAGAGTGAGACCCTGTCTCAAAAAATATATCTATCTGCCTATCATATTTGTGTTATGACAGCTCATTAATAGTTTTTTTAAAAAGCTACAAGGTAACAAAAATTCTTTTTGGCCACACTTTACTGCTCATTTGCTTATAAAATCCACTTTTAGCAAAGAACCCTGCTAAATCAGTTTAGCAAGAACCCTCACCTTCACTATCTCATCACCCTGGATAGGTGTTCAGTTTCCTCATCCTCCATCCACCATCCCCAGGTGATGTCTGATCACCCTGGCCTGCCTTCAGCAAGAATTCTCTTAAGTCAATTTAGCCACAGTCCCCCTTACCCCTGATGTTTCCTCTTGGTAATGTTCTATCCTCTGACCTCCACCCTGCTCCTTGGCTATAAAGTTCCACTTGCCCACGCTGCATTTGGAATTGAACCCAAGACCCCATTGCAGTGGTCCCTGTGATTATCACGATGGTGCTAAATAGTCTTACTTTGCTTTAACAGTATCATTGAATCATGTTTTTTAGCAAAGCCACAGACCAGTACAGGTCCATGGCCTGTTAGGAACTGTGCCACACAGCAGGAGGTGAACAGTGGGCAAGTGAGCATGACCGCTTGAGCTCTGCCTTCTGTCAGATCAGCAGAGGCATTAGATTCTCATAGGAGCCGAAAGACTATTGTGAACTGCGCATGCGAGGGATCCAGATTGTGTGCTCCATATGGGAATCTAAAGCCTGATAATCTGAGGTGGAAGAGCTTCATCCCTCAAACCATCCCCCTCCCCCTGCAACTGCCCCCAGTCCATGGAAAAATGTTCTTCCATGAAACCAGTCCCTGGAGCCATAAAGTTGGGGACTGCTGCATTAGGGAACTCAGGTGCAGAAAGGTTAAATCACTTGCCCAACTACTTACACTGATAGGGTGAGAACTTGACTCTAGGTATTTTGATTTCAAATTCCAGAAATTTACCACCTCACTGAACTTCCCCTAACTTTATTATTTTTCTTTTCACATGCACACAAACATACATGGATGTGTGAGCATGCTCATGCAAGCATGCACACACACACACACACACACACACACACACAGACACAGAAACTAATTGAAACACAGCCAGATATTATTACATATGTTCAGAGTGTTCTATATATGTACACACAATCATGTATTAAATAAACGAAATCCACATAGCCTCTCAGTTTCTGTTTCTAGAAGAAGCCCTGACCTTATAACAGAATAAATACTACTGCTGGGTCAGAGAAATGGAGCTAGCCTCATGCTTCCCCCTGCACTGACATGCTTTGTTTTTCAAAGCAATTTCCATTTACATTACTATTATTTTCATTGTCTTGATCATCCAAACCTCAAAGGAAAGAGGCTAATGATATTCCCCTAGCCCCCACTCCTCACACTCATGCTGAGAATGGAAGCAGCTCAGATTGACTGAATTGACTCTGCAAACCCTTCAGGAACATTAATGGAGTTGCTACTATAAACAGCTGGAGTTGCCATTTGCATCTCACTCTGTCTTCCTTTTTTTCCTTAAAAAATTTTTTTAGAAAAGCACCCACAACACCCTGGGGGAATTTTCCGGGACAAGTTGCAGGTGCTATGGATATGTTCATTTAATAATCATTCTTGCAATTCAGCACATTTGTAATCCATGTGGTAAATTCTGACTTACATTTCTCCCAGTGGACACCGGCCAGATGCAGAAACCAAAGAGCTTGGTGCCGGTACTGCCTCTTCCTTCTTTTATAGTTTGTGCATTTGGATGTGTTTAGCATGATCTGCGAGTGCAGGGTAAGGAATGTGCTGTGCTTAAAAGACCCTTTTGTTGACATTAAGCAATCATAAATATATGCAGCACTTATACGCCTTGCCTTTAGTGTGGAGTGCTTTAATTGGATGGTCTTCTCATGTGATATCATAAAGAACATATGCATATTTGTGGCAATTCCATTGGATCTTGAAGAAGCGAGGCACATACAGAGCAGCACATTCCTAACATCTATGGATTGCCTCATATATGTCACCACATCTTCCCACCAGGCTTGCTTTCCCTACACTCCAAGATGGTAACTTCCCAATCTGTCCAAATTCTATTTGGAATCCTCCTGGACTGTGTAAATGTCAAGGCCAGTTTCCTTTCCATGTGAACAGCTTTGAAAGGAGAACTGCATGCCTTACTCCCTCATAAATACAAGCCAGAGCATCTTCTTTTTTTTTCTAAGAGGAGGAGGGAATGAAAGGGGGTGTTTGGCCAAAAGTTAAAAAAGAAATCCCTTTTCAAGAATGACGTTCTCCTTATTTTCACCACATAAACAAAATGTTTAAGCCTGCACAGAGCCAGGTTTCAAATAGTGGATTTTTCTGGATAAGTCATTCTGCTGCTGCACTAAGATACAATCTCTTAAGGCAGCAAACTCCATCAGGGGGCAAACGTCACCACCTGCATGCCTGGGAGAGGGTACAGTCATGGCCCTGGGAGAAAACAGATGGTGCCCTCAAAGGAATAATACAAGAGATGTTAACAGGGACTGTGTTCAGGAGTGTGAAGAGAGTTAAGGGAACCAGTAAAGAATGGGAGCTCTCGGCCGGGGGCAGTGGCTCATGCCTGTAATCCCAGCACTTTGGGAGGCCAAGGCGGACGGATCATCTGAGGTCGGGAGTTCGAGACAAGACTGACCAACATGGAGAAACCCCCTACTAAAAATACAAAAAATTAGCCGGGTGTGGTGGCACATGCCTGTAATCCCAGCTACTGGGAAAGCTGAGGCAGCAGAATTGCTTGAACCTGGGAGGCGGAGGTTGCAGTGAACTGAGATCACGTCTCAAAAAAAAAAGAATGGGCATTCTCTAGGACAAAATGAAGTAGAAAGCAGGAAGATTTCAGGAATAATAAGTATCCAAACTCCTTTTTCCTTCCTGCTCCCAACCCCTTACTGTGCCTCCCATTGGCCAAAACCAACCAGTAGCCAGAGGTCAAGGAAGGGGGTGTCCAGAGGGGTAGAGGGGCAGACAAGCTGGCAGCAGGTGTGAGGCCTCAGGCACTGAGTACTCCTGCTCATCTACATAAAATCAATCACATCTATTTCTCACAGCAACTCTATGGGGCAGTCGTAACTTGCATAGGACAGACAGGGAAACAAAGGTGGGAAAAATAAAGCAACTTGCTCAACCTCGCGTAGTTAGATGATGGAGTTTCCAGCGAAAGAATTGCTAGCCTTCTGCGTAACAAGGTGACTGACGGGGCTTAAACAAGCATGGTCCTACACAGAAACCTGGCCATTCTTTCATTGGAAAGGTCTGTTTAGGTCTGGAAATCTTCAGTCTCAGGTTGTGAAACATTATCCACATCAGATGGTTCGTGGATTTCAGATAGACAGGAATGAGAGCTCAGATACTGAGAGATGTCAGGCCATCTAAAAAAAAGCTATCTACATCTATTTAGTGTCTTAGTTTAGACAGCAATAATTCAGATAATGAGAATTTAGATAGCAAGGGCTATCAGGCAACCTGAAACAATAGAAATACATTCAGAAGAAAAGCAAGAGCCTCTGGAAACACTCTCTTATACAATAGTCACAAGCTTAGATATTCATGAAAACCTCTGGGACAGTATCTACCCTGAATTCCTGCCTTCGTTACCTTGACCTGGGAAACTATATGGGGTTTCAGTTGTATGGATTTGGAGGATGGCGTAGGAAAATGTATTTATTTCCTGCTCAGTACAGAAAAAATATTGCAAACTTTAAAATCACAGCATAAAATCATATGTCTGCAAAAAGACAAGGATTTGTTCATTTTTCTTTCTTTTTTTTTTTTTTTTTTTTTTTGAGATGGAGTCTTGCTCTGTCACCCAGGCTGGTGTGATCTTGGCTCCCGAGATGGAGTCTTGCTCTGTCACCCAGGCTGGTGCGAACTTGGCTCCCTGCAAGCTCCGCCTCCCGGGTTCATGCCTCAGCCTCCTGAGTAGCTGGGACTACAGGCGCCTGCCACCATGCCCGGCTAATTTCTTATTTTTGTATTTTTAGTAGAGACAGGGTTTCACCATGTTGGCCAGGATGGTCTCGATCTCCTGACCTCGTGGTCCGCCCGCCTCGGCCTCCCAAAGTGCTGGGACATTGTTCTTAAGTCACACCCTTTTCATGCTTATGCATCTCATGTCATCATTGATTTTAAAATACACAGTTTTTAAAAAAAACCTTTGAACTACTCTGTAATATTAAGCATCTTACAGTTGATAGTGTGATAGTGTTTACTTGACAGTATTTGTTCTTTTTACTGGTATATAAAATCATATTGTGTCTTTCAACTGATAGCTACCTAGATTTGATAGAATATGGTATTATTGGTGCAGGTTAGTTAGCGGGCATTTTGCTCCTCTTTGCACTGAGGTTGTGGTGAGCCCAGCCAAAGGGTTGGTGCCTGGACTGGGCTTATTCTTGTTTCTTTTCACTCTCTTGGGCCAACCTGGAGCTCTGGCCAAGCCTGGGGTTCAATGAGTTGATTCTGGTGTGGGAGCAGCTAGGGTTGGCTCACAGCTTTGGGGTGTCATGCAGGGAGAAAGGAAAGTGAGTCTCTTTGGGGAAGGTGGCCTTGAGAATAAAAAGTCAGTCTGAAATCCAAAATATAGTAGAGGTGGAAACAGGCAGTGACTGAGTGGGGCAGAGCGATTAGAGCAAAATGCACAGTAAAGGAACTGCATCTCAGGTCAAGTGCAGGCAGTGGAGGCACGTGTTTGAGAGAGTCAGGACCCCAGAAAGCAAGCCACTGGAGGGGTCACCTTCTCCTATGACCTGTAGTCCTTCTTCTTAACAATCTTCATTTGATCTCAACTTTGAACCGGTTGCTAAAACGAAGAGAGATTCTGAAAATACGTTCTACTTCTGTTTTTTTTTTTTCAATCTCCATTATATCACCATAAACACATCTGATAAAATGGAGATAAACCCTGAAAACAGCTGCTTCTCATGGTTTCTTCTGGTGAGGTAAGGGACCCCTTGGTGATGGAGGTAGAAGATCAATTGATGCCACAATACCCCTGGCTCAGGCGTGTGCCATACAGGGTGGGCCTCTCATTGGTGCCAGGCTCCTCCCAAGCCCTCTGATTTCCCTTTGGCACTGGGGGTCCATATTTGTTGGCCCGGGGTTTCCATAACAAAACACAGTACTACAGATTGAGTTGCTTAAACAACAGAAGTTTGCTTTCTCATTGCTCTGTTCCGGAGGCTGGAAGTCCACAATCAAGGTGTCAGCAGGGGTGATTTCTTCTGAAGGCTCTCTACTTGGCTTGGGGACAGCATCTTCTCATTTTGTCTTCACGTGGTCTTTTCTGTTTGCATCTGTGATGTCTCTATTTATGTCCACGTTCCTTCTTTTTTATAAGGACACCAATCACATCAGATTAGAATCCATCCTAATGGCTTCATTTAACTGAATCACCTCTTTAAAGATCCTGTCTCCGAATACAGTCAGATTTTGAGGTACTCAGGTTTAGAGCTTCAACATATGAATTTTGAAGGGACACAGTTTAGCCCATAACAGGTCCCATAGAGATTACAGCAACTAATTTTAAGTTTTTCCTTAAGATTCATTTGCATTTTATCCTTTTTTTGGTTAAGATTAATCTGAATTTATAAGCTGCTATGTTTTTGAGACAGAAAGTTTTTTTCTTCTTCTGATATTTCCACACAAAAGGACACAGCATTTGCCCTCTCTTCTTTTCATTTAGCTATGTTTCCTTATACAGAGTTGCTGGGAATATCTGTTTTTATGTGCTGCAATTATTCATGTGGAAGACAGTAATGTGCCAAATTTTGAGCCATTTCCCAAACATGTGCAATGTGTTCAAAGGCCAGGTAATTCCAAGAAGTCATCAGCCTCTATTATTCCTCTAAAGGGACTACTTTATGCATCCCTGTGAGTAATCAGGGCCCATTAAGCCTATGAGAACAGGCTGTGTGAGCAGAGAGCAGAGAAAGAGAAAAAGATTATTAGAGAAGAAATAATATTTTTAAAAGCATATCCTGACTTCCCAAGAAAATCAGAACAGAATCAAAACCTTCAGAAACTGGAATTGGAGCTCAAGTAAATAACCAAGATTTTTAAAGTTATTACTGTGTGTTCACTCATATGCAAGGTGCTGGGCAGATAAAAAAATTCAACGGCTTCCACCATTTCTTGTTCCATCTCATTTTGGCAAAGAGTCAATCATATCCAGATTAAGACATCCTTAAGTATCTTTAAGTTCAGAGGACTCAGTGAAATGAACATGCTTTTGTCTTAAAATAATGATAGAAAATGCCATTCTATATATTTAAGCACAATGTACTTTAGCCATAAATAACAAGAGCCTGGGTTATAAGTATTTAAGGATTTACTAAGAGTGTATTCAAGGAGAAGCAAGATCAAAGTCAGAGATGTCCCAGGAATGAAAGTAAACCATTGTCAGGTGAATGAGATTAGAAGCCCTCCCATACTTTTCTCTCCAGCCCTGCTGTTGCCACTCTTAAATTTCATGCTTCAATTACTCTTTCATGGGAAATTACAGGTGGCACCTAATTGTTTTCCCTACCTCTGGTCTTTGACCTGCTAATCCATCCTATTCACAGCAGCTGATCGCCATTCTGGAAGCACTTCTCTGATCTGTCAGTTCATTCCTCAAGAGTCTCTCCCAGTGCCCCCACTGACTAATGAATAAAGCTCATATACATTCTGGAAGTCAAGGCCCTTTATGATTTGACACCAGCGAACCTTCCCAATGTCATCTCTCATCCCCCCCTATTATAAACCTTGTCCTTCAGCCTGGAAATCCCTGAACCCAGCTGTAGTTATGGTCCCAAGAGCAGCCTGTTAAATGTATGAGTGCTCAGGTCCACCCCTATAGAAACCACTACATTGAGCTGGGTCTGTAAGTCTGGTAGAGCCCAGGAATCTCCCCTTTAGCAGGACCCCATCAATACTGATGTACATCCAGTTTGGATATTCCAGCCAAACCAAACCTTTGTTTTTCACTTGAAAAATCTTCTGTGTGTTTCCCCTGGTTCATCTCCACCATGAAACCAACTTCCTCTGACTCCACATCCCCTTTATCCCACCATCTTGAATTTTCTACCAGCAGCTGCAAAGTTTCTCTCCCTCTTAACTCTCACTTAGTGTGTCCCTACCTTCCATACAGTCCATCTCACTTTCTATTACCTTACATTTTAATTATTTTTATACATGGTTTACCTCCCCATGAGATTATATGCTTTTTGAAGGCAAATTTCATGTCTAATTTGCCTCTCCAGAACCAATAAAAAAGCCTGGAAAAAAAATGACATATGGTAGGTATCTCTTGAATCAATAGGGTTTGCTAGACTTGGTAGCCCTAAATCTCTTTGAGAGGAAAAAGGCCAATAAATTTTTTTTTGTTTCTATAAATATTGGAATCCTGTCTTTTTACTATAAGCTCAAGCAGAAACCAATATTCTTTGAAATGAAAAATGTCACACCAGATGAGTGAGTCATGGAATTTCAGAATCTCCTTCACACCTTTTATAAGGTACATAAACATGGTGCTATCTTTCTGTTGTTCATTTGGAGGAAATATATGTATTTTCCTCACAAAAACACTTTTGTTCTCATTTGATGAAAATAATCTATAGGAAGTTAGCAGGATGAACTGTCATTCATTCATAAGAATCGAAGGTAATAAATTAACAATCACCTTGAATTAACGCATTTAGATAATCACTTAATCTTTGGGGGTTAATCTTCCATTTCTGAATATCTAAGATTAACTACCCCATAGAGCTTAAGCTCTATTTTAAGGAAGACACACCCCTGACTGGAGAGAGAGCCCTCGGAGAAGGAATCCTCAGATTTCTCACACCTGTGTTTTTTCATTGCTCCTATGGAGAGCTTAGGTTGGTGGACATTGGGAGCTTGAACTGCTCCTTGGGGAGGTTTTGCTGGAACAGTAGTTATTAAATAGCTAAAATGTCATGGGCAATAGATCTAGGTTACAAAGACAATACAAACAAAGGTTTCCAAAGTAATGTCCCCACCTGTAACTGAAGGCAGCAATGATGAATATAATCCCAAACAGCAGGCAATATAAAAAAAGAGTTGCTGAGCTCTGGAATGTATTATAAGAAGTCCTTGAATTCCTGTTTAGCCCATTCAAAACTTTCTCTTCATTTTACCAAATCCTGAAATGTAATATTCTTGTAATGAGTGCATATCTCATCCTCTATTTTTTTTAATCAAAAGAGAAAATAGTTTAAAATTCCAGGAAAGCTTTTTTTTTTTTTTTTTTTTTTGAGACGGAGTCTCGCTCTGTCGCCCAGGCTGGAGTGCAGTGGCGGGATCTCGGCTCACTGCAAGCTCCGCCTCCCGGGTTCACGCCATTCTCCTGCCTCAGCCTCCCAAGTAGCTGTACCCATTTACCTTCTATTATAATCTGATCTCCCTCATATAGACACAAACACAGTTCTTCTAAATACTAAGATGGCAAATTATCCCCTCAAAGATCTTGAAGTTTTTAAGGCAAGATGATCTTCAAAATAATTATTGTAAGTTTAACTGTTTAAAGGTTCAATTAATGCTTACTTCAGTTATTAATGACTTATAAGAAATTATTTCAAGGTATAGCAGTCTAACACAACCCTTTATTACGTTCATGGATTTTGTGTTTCAGGAGTTCGAACAGGGCAGAGGAAGAACGGCACTTCTGACATCAGAGGCTCCAGCTGAAAGGTTCCAAATCTAGGAGCTGGAGTCCATGACTCACAGGTCTTATAGTTGATGCTAGCTTTTGGCTGAAGCCTCAATTCGTCTTCAGTGGGCCTCTCCCTATTGGCTAAAATTTGGGCTTCCTCACAGCATGGTGGCAAGATTCTAAGGGCAGGAATCCAGAGAGAGAAAGGGCCAAGCAGAAGCCATATTGTCTTCGATGACCTGGCCTCAAAAATCATGCAATACCTTTCATTCATTGAGGCCGTCACAAAGCTCCACCCATTCTCAATGGGAGAGAAATAAATACTGACTCTCAATGGGGAGTGGGAAGGTTCTGGGAGGGCATATGGCACCCAGAATATGGCTGTAGGCATTTGTAAATGGGGTTGTTGACATTGAGCTTTCAGGTAGGTGATGTGGTTGGCTATTTTGCAGTGAGCCCCTGGTTTTGGTCTTTTCTTTGGGGATAATCAGATTTTTAAAAGTATGTTCTTTCATTTTCTTGCTTAGGGAATTCTAGGAGACTTGTTAGGGAATTCTAGGAGACTTGTTAGGGCTGGGGGTTAAAATAGGTCTGGGGAACTCAGCATTCAATATTTAATGCGTATACCTTATTTTCAGTAGGATAGCCCATCTTAACTGTACTAACGCCTGTGCCAGCCAACCCCCATCCCAGGTTTCTCTGTTCTACCCTCTTCAGATGATAAACCTCTAGAGTGGAGGAAGGTCAGTTACCCAGTGGCATAGAACTTGGAAGAAAACCTAAACATCTGACTGCTTTGCCAGAAGTTTTCACACAATTCTTTATATTTTCTTTTCCACCATCATGCCCAGTTACAAAGGAAACTGGAGCTGTCCTGTCCTGAGAATTCCAGAGATTTTGAAGAATCTGTGGGTGGGTAACACATTGATTCCCAGCTCTCTCCACTCTGGTTTTGGATTCCACTGTTTTGGTTTTCATAACTCATTTACTGTTGCTTCATATGCTTTCCAGCTTCCAAAATGTATGGCTGTTGTCTTCTCGCTTTATTTCCTAGTCCTTTGAATCTCTTTCCTATGGCTTTGGTAGGGTTTTGAAAAATGTGAGTTTAGCATATTTGAACTGCCATTTTAACCTAAGAGTCTCTTCAGTCTCTTTCAACCATTGTTCAGGTGATATCATTAGCAAACCCCTAAAGACCAAATTCTTTCAACATGCTCCAGGTTTTCAACAACTCTCTTAAAGCATGGTAGTGCTGTAAACTGAATTTCAGGTATATTCTAACCAGTACAGATGACAATAGTTAGTTCTCTTGTTCCAGGCACTCAACTCAGCACCTTTCAAACTGTGTTAGTGCAGTGGCATCCCTCAAATCATTAATAAGTGGTCTGAAAAAAAGCTTGAGGAATATTATGTTGCATTCTGTTCAATGTTTATCATATTATGAATCAAGAAAAGTGTGCTTAATTTGTTTTTATTTAATATTTCCAAAACAGTTGACTATATAATCCCTTTTTTCGGAGAACATTTTGTAAGATTCTAATGTAATGTCCCTCAAAGTGGGTTAACCAACTACCTGCATTAGAATCATTGAGAGTTCATTTACATATTTGGATACCCTTGGTCCTATTCCAGATCTTGAATCAGACTAGGCCTTAGGAATCTGCATTTTACATCAAACAACATATGCAATTTTTGTGCTGCTTAACATTACTGGGAGACTATGCCTAACTATTTGAACCTTTATCCTGAGGAACTTCCACAGAGGAACAGTTTTTCAGCCCCTCTCCATGCCTCACATATTCTACTCTTTAGGAATGACTTTTCTGAGTGGTAAACTTGGAAAAACACAATACTAATGCTTGGTCTAGCCCCTACCTCTCACTCCTCTCTTTGGGATCTGCTTATTTGCCAGAAGGGTGCATTTTACTCTGTGGGGTGGGCTATGTGCTGAGGGAGGAATCTCATAATTATCTGGTTGTTCCAAAGATTGGGCAGAAAAATGTATGTAATAAAGAATTAAAACAATAGAAAATTCACTTACAATGTTAAAGGTGGAGGCTTAGTCTTCATAGAGCTATGCCCGTCTCTCAATTGGTTCTGAACCAATCTCTCCATTGGTTCAAAGGCATGTTACATATTGAGTCCCCTCAAATCCTGAATGTATATTTGAAGATAATTGACCTATAGGCAAGTTTCAAAAAATACAACATAGGTACGTCATGCAATGCAGTGGAAAACACATGGCTATTCATTTTACTTTTTTAAAAAAAAATTTGCATTCGTGGGAAGAGCGGACAAGGTAAAGCAGCAGTGACTGAAATTCATCTATTTGGAAGTAATTCCAAAGGATTTGAAAATAGCCAGATCCATCTTCATATTTCTTTTAAGATCCCTCTTAAGACAAGCAGAGAGATAGGAGAACAGAGTGTGTAACATCTGGTTTGTTTAGGGATAAGAAGGGTGCAGCGGAGGGAGTTCTTGGAAGCATTCTTAAAGGATGTGGTAGGAGAGCACCTGGAAAAGCCTACTTTATTGAAGGGAGGCTTCAAGGACCCAGGCAGAGGAGGTCATGTTTAACAAATCGGATGGAGTTTCTTGAAGATATCCCTGTCATGAAAGATGAAGGAGATTTAGTGGCTGTATGAAGAGTGCTTTGATTTTTAAACAAGATTTGACAAGATCCACATCCGGGATTAATGGTCAAGGGGAAGAGCTATTGAACATGGGTAATGTAGGGTGCAAGAGAAAAAACTGGCTCAAGAAAGGGAGATGGATGAAAGACAGGGAAGGGTTTTGTGATTTACTCCTATCCCCTCCTCCCCGTGGATGGAGGAGCATTTATCCCTTACGGTGACTTAGATATATTACTAATGGAGGAGGGGATAGTAGTAAGAGAAAATGGTCAGCCAGATTTGGGATAGATTTTGTAATATGTATTACATATTACAAACAACAGAACAACTACACTGAGTCTTGAGATGATTCAGAAACTTAGACCCAGCAATTGTAGCAAATCATACCCAATAGGGATAGTGATGTTTGGCTGTGACATCGTGGCTTGGGCAGAGGGATAGAAACCAATCCAAACCAAAGAGATGAGGATTAATAAACCAAAGTAGGGAACAATTAGCCCAGTGACATTTCCTGAGGATGGAGTTTTAGATGATTGTAAAGTCAGCCAAGTTGGTCTTTGGTGTTCCCAGCCTTTTTTTTGGGAGTACTCTCCTATTCTCACACTCTCCCCTCTTTCTCCTATAAAAATCTAATGTCAGTAAAATATCTAACTCACCAAAGGGATAAATGCTTAGAGAGAGTTCAAGGCATTATTCTTCCTCTGGGTATTTACATTTTAATGGGAGTTTTACAATTGAAATCAAAGTATTATAGCTGTTGTGATGGAATTTCAATGAAGCGTTTGGGGAGGACACAGTAGGGTTATTACTTGTCCCAGAAGTCACTCATGGCTGTTGTCTCCTGCACCTGGTGGTAAAATCATTGTTAGTTCTGCCAAACAGTATTCTGGCCTACAATTCTTAAGAAAAAGTAAAATCATTGAAAATAGAGCTTTAAAAACTGGATTTGTGGTTGAAAAAACAGTATTGACAGGCTTCGGCCAAAGGAGCTGATGGGATGACATTATGGTATGGGAATAGGAAGGAGAAAACGGCAACAGAGAAGGGAGCTGAGGCCCAGAGACATTCACACACTGACCAACCTCTGAATGCCTTTAGCCCCCAACACTCTCACCATCATCCTCATTGAAATCCTGCCCCATTCAAATGCTACTTCAGAGACACCCACACACTGACCAGGGTCTGAGTGCCTTTAGCTCCCAACACCCTCACTATCATACTCATTAAAATCCTGCCCCATTCAAATGCTACTTCTTCTATATAGGAAAAGAAATTGTGTACTGTTCATTTTCTTGTTGCTAACAACAGTAGAAGTAGGGAGACGGAGTGTTTTCTATAATGAATTCTCCTGTAAATCCAAGCAGAAAAGAGGAAAAGGAAGGAGACAGTAAAGTGGGCACTAACCCTGCATTCTGCCTCCAAGGTCCTTCTTGATGATTTGGCATCCTGGAAAGACACAATTACTGGAAAGCGGCAAGCGTTTTCCTGTAGAAATTTATTAAATTTCTTTCTGAGGATACAGGAGTGTGGGAGGTACGATTATAGAGGAAGAGACTGTAGTATACCATTCAGCAGCCTTAACTAGCAAAAAACACAGCTGAGAGTTCAATATGAAGAAGGGGTCTGAGCTTTTAAAAGGCTGTAAAACAACCCATGAACTTTATTCATGGAAAAGTTTTTCACACCCCCATTTAGAGTTCAATTTGACTTTACTACATTGTTTAAATTAACTATCTAGTTTCTCATCCCAGAGATTAAAGCAGAAAATTAACAGAGTGGCCTAAGCTAACTTGGTAGAAAAGGCAAGGAAAACATGTTAAAAGGACACAGGGACTTTAAGAAACGCAGCTGTCTGAGGCTATTTTGGTCTGGGACAGAGCCTTAACTGCTCAGTGTGTCCTGGGGCCTCACTGTCTCAGAGCAGATTTTTCCACCTTGCCCTCTACTTCCATCCCTTCAGTTCATCCATTCCAGCCGCAATGGCCTTGCTGATCCGCGACGCACCAAGCCTGTTCTCAGTTCAGTGCCTCTGCATTGCCCTTGCCTCTGCCTGTGAAACTCCAAGGCAACACTTCATACGGCCAGCCCCTTCTCTGTTCTCCATCCCTTCACTCTTTCTTAAATAGCCACTCTCAATCTGCATTTTCTTTACAAATGCTCTATTTTCTTTACAAATAATTACCACTTGAATTTATTTGATTTATATGCTTTTCTGCTTATTTATTTCCTGCTTCTCCCCTTTGAATGAAACCTCCATGAAAAGAGGAATCTTGCCTAGCTTGGTCACTATTCTACCCCAGGTCCCAGAAAGGCATGGAGCAGCCACACTATAAATGATTGTAAAGAACTAGTAAGCGAGGAGTCCCCAGTGATACCGCAGAGTCTTCCCAATAAGGTTGCGTTATAATCAGTTTCCTCTTTCTATAAAGACAGGGAGATTTATGTACATTTTATAAATCTTATAGCCACAATGAATTATTTGTTTTTATTTACGGAAATTCTCAGTTATCTGGAAAGATCTGACACTGTGAAAAGGTCCCTTCTGCAATACGGATACCAAGGAGGATTTTAGGTTGTGAAAAGAGAAGTGGTTGCTTGTTTTCTCTCGCTAGATGAAAGGAGGCCACAAATCTTTTTGCAGTTCCACTAAAGAGCCAATAAAATAGAAACGCAACACACATGTGCCAAGAGTTCAACAACAAGGCGGAAGTGGCTTAGGTTTGTGGTCTGTTACCACATGACAACATTGAGTTGGGGCCAAGGCATTTTCTGCTCTTTGCAGTCTCTGCATGTTGAAAGGCTCTACTTCGGAATGAACAAGGGATAGACATGTCACAGAAGAGTAACTCCGTGATCGGCACAGGGGTGTGAAAGGATCAGGGAAGACATGTTTCAGCAAATAGAAAAGTTAGGGAATTTAAAGTTTCCCTACACAAGAGTAAGCAAATTATGGCCCAGAAGGCAAATTCAGCCCGCTGTCTTTTTTCTTGGCAGTTTTAGAAGTTTTTATTTTCCCAAATGGGCTTTTATGAATTGAAAAAAAAAAGTTCCAATATTCACTTGGAAACTTACTAGTTCCTAGGAAATAAAATTAGTGTGGCATAAAGGAAAGGACATTAGTCTGTGAGTCAGGGGGCCTAAGTTGTCCTGACTCTTTTACTAACTAGTTACTTCTGCTGTCTGGTTTTGTAAATAAAGTATTATTGGAATACATCATACATTTATTTATGTATCATCCATAGATATTTTCACACTATAACAGTAGAGTCGAGTAGTTGTGAAGGAGACCACATAGCCCTCAAAGCCTAAAATATTTACCATCCGGTTCTTAATATTATAGATAAGAAAATTGCCAGCATTTGCCCTATACTATGAGTACAAAAATAAATATGTTATACCATATGAAATTGCTTATATTTGATCTAAACAACTGAAATTTCACATAATTCAATTTAATAGTTTGTTCTTTTAAATCTCTTCTTCAATGTCCATCTCAGAACCATCTCATCCATAAAGCTTCTTCCAAATAGACTGGAGCACTCTGGTTTCTCAATCCCCATGGGACTTTGCTCATTATGTTTGGCTGATTCCATGCTTCTATAATAGTCATTAGATGTATCGCTTCCCCTCTACTACTGGAAATACTGTTATAGGCTTAATTGTGCCCCTACCCCCAAATTCATATGTTGAAGCCCCAACCCCTAGTACCTCAGAATGTGACTGTATTTGGAGATAGAGTCTTTAAAAGGTAATTTAGGTAAATGAGGTCCTTAGGGTGGATCCCAATCCAATCTGAGTGATGTACTTATAGGAAGAGAAGATTAAGACACAGAGATACCAGAGAGGTCGTTCACAGAGGAAAGACCATGTGAAGACGCAGTGAGAAGGTGGCCATATTCAAGCTGAGGAGAGAGACCTCAGAAGAAACCAATACTGCCAACGCCTTGGTCTTGGACTTCCAGCCTCCAGAACTGTGAGACAATAAATTTCTGTTGTTTAAGCCTCCCAGTCTGTGCTATTTTGCATGGCAGCCCTAACAAACTAATATAGCCACTCAAGAGTAGAAGTTATTTCTTAGAAACTCCTATTTTAGTCCCCAACGTTCAATGGAAACATGAGTTCATAACTCCAAGTTAACAAACCATGAACTATTGCATTAAATCCACATCCATTATCCCATATGTAAATGTCATGAAGGTCAATGTACACAGCTCCATATAACTGCATTCCCAATAGCCATATGTCTGTCTAGTATTCATTGACTAAGCTTTATAGAATTTAGTAAAGCAAGGTGCATAACTTGGTGTGTCTGGGGTCTAAATTGGTGAATCTAGGCATTGAGGACCAGAATACTGTTTAGCAGAACCAACATTGGTTCTCCAAAGTTTCTAGAATGTAAATAAGAAGTTTCTACACAGAAATGTCCTAGAAGACTCTAGAATTATTCATTCAGTGAACATTTATCAACTGCCAGGCAAAAAAGTCAACTTACAGATCTCTGCTCACTTACTCTTTTCAGTGAAAATTGAAAAAGCTCACCACCTCTTTCTTAGTGTACTGAGGGAGAGAAAGGAATAACTAGTAAGCTGGATGAGAGCTCTGTCAATTAGAATAACAGGCCCTTGGTAGCCAATTCCAAATAACAATCTTCAGGGGAGCCCAATAATAAACATTAAACAGAAATATTAAATATGTAGTTCTAATTTACATTCCAGATGTCAGAATCTGCAAAAATGGGCAATGCAACAAAGATCAGACCATATGAGGAGCCAAGCTTCCCTGGTTTATCCAAAATCTGTTGAGTAAAAAGTGCAACTGCTTCACATGGGACTGTAGCCAAATTCAACCTGAGAGAACACATTTTGCAAACATCCTCCAAATGTAGAAGCTTTCCTGATTGTTCATTTCTAAATGAACAAATAAGAGGTTTCAGTATGAACAATGTCCAGATGCCCCAGAAGCCTGCTCTGTTTGCCAATTCCATTGACCAAACACACATTCTATTCCTTTTGGATTTCATTGGCAGCCCACGGTGAGAAGCACCGTTTTATCTATGAAAAACTTTACCAACTTAAAGCTTGATGAGGAGATATATGAGGAGAGACCACTGGGCATTCTGATGAATTGAAAGTCAGAAGTTATTGAGCATAGTCAGATCTGATCTTTCCCAGACCCATACATTTCACCCAGGGAATTCCCATACAATTATGGGAAAACCTGAACCACATTATCCCTAACCAACTCCAAATTTAATGGTGTGAGGAACACTCCACCTTGAAACAAAGCAAAGGCTTATAAAACACATGGCTGCTATGGTCTGACTTCTCAATAGAGGGCTGGTTATCTTTTCAATAATAAGTTCTTAAGCATCTCTGAAAAATAATGCCCACTTGCCAATCTGCCTTTGGTCACTGGATCAAGAAAAAGAAAAGTGTTCCTAAATTGATTCTCCAACCCCTTTCTCTCTGTGTGTGATGAGATTGTTCCTAAAAAATCTAAACTCCTATTTTTAGTCCCCCACCTTCAATAGAAACATGACTTGGTAACTCCAAGTGAACAAATCATTAATCATTGCATTAAATCCACATCCATTATCCCACATGTAAATGTCATGAAGGTGAATGTACACAGCTCTATGTAACTACATAGCTTAGAAACTAAGACAAACATATTCTTTTTATTAAGTTAGTAATCTGGATTTCAGGGGAAATTATTTTTTATGCAGACTTGTCAAGATTATACAAATAATCAATTTTCCAGGTAATTTACAATCTTCAGAGTGTGTGGGCCTTTGAAAATAAAAATTCATGTGTAATTCTCCCTGTGGCCTGAATTTTGAGTGCACCAAATCCATATTATCTAAAGACAATGCTCATTACATTACACACCCTTATATCACCAATATTTGACCACCACTCCACCCAGAACTTTCCATGGCCCTTTACTCCCAATTCCATTGAAACTAAATTTCTCAGTTTAGTTGTCATAGTTTTTCACAGTACTTCTCCAGTTGGATTCACCAATTCTCCAAAATATACCTGTTGTTTAAGTCAAGCAAATTTCCTCTATGTCTACAAATAAATCATGCTTACTCTAGAGTCTTTTCCTTGTATTTCTTCCTTTCATTTGAAAGATTTCTTCTAAACTTCAGATCCAGCTTAAGATGTAATTTATTGAAAGTTGCATTTTTCAACCAACACCCTCACATTCATCTTTTCTCCTTTGCCTTCGAACATCACTAATCCTCTGTATCACATGATTTAGTAATGACTTATGTTTCAAAAACTTACTCTTGTTTTGTACATTTGATTAAAGTCTCACAAAAATGAAAGCTTCATTTAAAAAACGTTTGTTCTCTGCTGTAATCTTAGCACCTAGAACAATACCTGGAACATGGGGAGGCTTGATAAATATTTATTGAAATAATAAATAATGATTAAACAAATGTCTTCTCAGTAGGACTTGGAATTTTTCAAGAACAGGGGCCACATTATCATCCTTTGATTTTTACTATCCACAGTCCACTGCTACACTGTCTTAGTCTATTTTCTGTTGCTTATAACTGAATACCTAAGACTGGGTAGAAATGAAAATGGATTTCTTACAATCAGGGAGGCTGAGATGTCCATGACTGAGGGGCTATATCTCGTGAGAGCCTCCTTGCTGGTGGGGACCCTCTTCAGAGTCCCAAGGTGGCATAGGGCATCACATGGCAAGGAGGCTGACTGTGCTAGCTCAGGTCTCTCTTCCTCTTCTTATAAAGCCACCAGTTTCATTCTCATGATTACCCATCAATCCATTCACACATTAATGCATTAGCCCATCAATGGATTAATCCATCCAGGAGGGCAGAGCCTTCATGACTCAATCACTTCATAAAGGCCCCACCTCTGAATACTGCCTCATTGTGGATTAAATTTTAACATGAGTTTTGGAGGGGATAAATTTTCAAACCATAATGCATGTACATCTCATTTACCAAGTACTCGATCTTCTGCAATGCTCAATGACTAATAAGTTACACAAAAGTTCAGCTACAGACTTAAGTTCTAGGTCAGACTTGAAGATAAATGCAATTGTAGTAGTCACTGCCTAAATTATTCCTGGGGGAAAAAAGGAAGAGACAGAAAAAGATCTATTAAGTTTGGAAAGATGCCTATCTTTTAAAATAGAAAGTAAGACCACTTGTCATTTAAGGAACATAGGTCTTTCTTAATTATCATGTTTCATACAATTATTGTTAGGCACAGTTATTTCTTCTCTATAGAGGACAAAGCTTATTAAATATAACATCTACTCAGATTTCCATGTAGATACATATCTCTAAAGTAAACAAGCCAGGCAAATATTATTATATCCACTGCACAGATGAAGAAACTAGTAAGATTGTCTTATCAAATGTTATATGGCTATGAAATGGTAGAGCTGAAACTAACACATTTTTTTTTTTTTTTTAGTTTGCCTCCCATATTTTTATGATGCCTTTTGAAAGCATTCTTAATGGTAAACATAAAGAAAATTTTGATGTCTACTCACTTTCCATTTTTTGGAATTTTCCCCTTTTGGTCTCCTTGCTACCCCTAGTGGACTCTACCTTCCTTCCCCTGATTCTCATGAGAATCTGATCTTCGCTAAAGTGGGCAAGGTAAATTGTGGCAATTCTAGTGTATCGAGGTGGTTTTCTGAAGCAGTAATCAGTGCATTATTACTAATTCTATGCTTCTTCATGGAACCATTACCTAAAAACCTAGATATTTTGGCTGGGAACAGTGGCTCACATCTGTAATCCCGCACTTTGGGAGGCCAAGGTGGG